>NC_000006.12:69277048-69580079 GCF_000001405.40 Homo sapiens
GCAGTGGCGTGATCTCAGCTCACTGCAACCTCTGCCTCCCGGGTTCAAGCGATTCTCCTGCCTCAGCCTCCAAGTAGCTGGGATTACAGGCACGAGCCACCATGCCCAGCTAATATTTGTATTTTTAGTACAGACGGAGTTTCAACATGTTGGTCAGGCTGGTCTTGAACTCCTGACCTTGTGATTTGCCCACCTCAGCCTCCCAAAGTGCTGGGATTACAGGTGTGAGCCATGGCGCCTGGCCCACTCTAGTCTTTCTTAAGCCTCTACTCCATCTCTTCACTTAAAAATTGACTTTTTGCAATGTGGCTCTACACTAGTCAACACCATTTCTCTCATGGGTAGCATGACCTGCTGCTCTGCATTTCATATGTATCCAGCAGAAACACAATGTGGTACACTGGTAAATACAGGACACCAGATTGCATAAAGTCACCAGGGAGTTGGCACACCCTAAGGAGATCCCATCGATTTGTAGAGTCAGCACTCCCAAAGGACTTCAGAAGGTGTGCAGCTGTCATCTCAGTTGCCACAATGTCAGCTTTCAGGTGGCATCATTGGCTGCATTTTAGAGTTATGATCTGCTGCTATGGATTTCTATAGAGCTAATGCTTCTCCCACCTCCAATTATTATTTGTATTATCATTATTGTTGTTATTATTAAGAAAAAAGAGAAATGGCGATTAAGAACACAAGCCCAGTAGTATAGTTCCCTGACTCCACCACTTGCCCACAGACTTTGGGAAAATTACTTGGTCACTCTTGCTTTAGTTTCAGAATCTGTAAAATGATAATAGTACCCACCTTATAGTCTTGTTGTAAGTATTAAATGATATACTACAAGTGAAATGCTTTGAAAAGTATCTGGCACATGGTAAGAACTTAAAAGATATTAACTATTATTATTGTTACTGCTATTTCATTACTGCACTCTATACCGTGAATAGTGTTCTGAGCTTGGAAACACTTGCACTTGTTTATACTAATATTCTCCTTTGCACATAAGGTGCTTTTCTTCTTATTGATTCTTTCTGAACATGCCTTTGAGGGAAAATATTTCTTCAAATAATAGGGCTTTGAGATGCAAAATTCATACTTATAGGATTCCAGTGTCTATGCACACAGAGATACACTTAGTGATCTTTAGCATTTTCAATACAACAAGGCATCTTGGAAAAAAAGTTTTAATCTTTTCACACAATAAAAGTATTCATACATTCTGATCGTTGTTTTCATGAGAAAGCAAGAAACACTTTGCCATAACTTCATCCTCCCTTCATCAAGACATTAAAAAATGTTAATTATAAGATAACTTAATTCAGTGAGCCCTGATAACTCCTTATGATGCGTAACAGCAGTATATTAGGGGTGAATTAATTCAATATGACAATTGAGATATTAGTATTCCTCTGTTATCTTGTACATTATTCCCCCCCATTGTTTATGATATTTTCATCTCTTCATATTGCCCAATGTGTATTTTTATGAATAGCATTGATAGCTAACCTAAGCATAATTTCAACAAATTCTATATTAACCCTTTTGAACCTGTGACTCTTTTGGACTTAAGACATTACAAGCATGTTCAGGCAAAAATCAGTGAACATTTATTCATTGTTTGCTGTAAGAACCAGAGCAGTGTCCTGGTGAAGACCATGGGTTCCAGGTTCAACTTCCTGACTCTATGCTTTTCTATCCTTTCTGATTTGGTCTCAGTTTTGTTTTTGTTTTTGTTTTCTGTAAATTGGGAGTAATAATATTGTCTTAGAAGGTTATTCTGAGAATTAAAGATAATACAAAATATACATAACCAATACCTGGCATAGAGGAACATGATCACTATATTTAAACTATCATTAATATCATATTTAGATATTAAAACCATGTAAGAAAATTCATGGAATACTTGAAAATGAAAGCTTTAAAAAAAGTTTTGATCTTTGCATTCCTATAACAAGAATTCTGTTTCAAGAATTCACTTCTCACTTCCTCAACACCTCATATGGCATATTAAATACATATGTATATATATATATATATATATATATATATATATATATATATATATATATGCTCCTCAACTTATGATGGGGTGATGTCCCAATAAACACATTGTAAGCTGAAAAGATCCTAAGTCAAAAATGCATTTAATACACTTAACCTACTGAACATCATAGCTTAACCTAGCCTACCTTAAACGTGCTAAGAACACTTACATTAGTCTACACTTGAGTAAGATCATCTGGCAACACAGTGCACTACGGAGTATCAGTTGTGATCATGTGGCTGACTGGAAGCTGCAGCTCACTCTTGTTGCCCAGAATGGTGGGAGCATTCCATTTTCTACCCAACATGTATTGTTTTCACACCATCGTAAAGGCGAAAATTTGTTAGTCAAGAATGCTGTGTGTGTGTGTGTGTGTGTGTATTTACCTAGCTATTTCTTAAGTAATGATGCTTTCTTGCCTACATTTAAAATTTTACTTCAGTTGATTCTGCACTATCAGACTGTAATTATACATATATATATTTGTACTCTCTAGAATAACTATTTTTGAAATTTTTGAGAAATATGCTTCATCCTGACATTACCATTGTCAAGATTAATACCTGTTGGCCTAACCAATCCACATAAAATGTAGACCTCTTTTGGCCTGATATGCCTGATTTCTAAGCCTATAGAATCCAGCCCGTTAATGAGAGATGCTAGGTTTGTCCTCAGCCTAGAAATTAAGGAGGGAGATACTGGGAGGACCGAGGAAAAACCTGTTCACTTGTATGAAACTGAAACTACCCTCACATTTCATCTTTTTATACTAGGTAGCCAGTACTCCTTCTTGGTATCTTGTCTGTCTAACAAAAACCTCCAACAAGAAAAAAAAATGTATTAGAGAAAAGCCTCCTACTGCTTTCAGCTGCTGTAGTCAGTCATAGGCCTCCCACGGTTGTGAGGCGTCTGCGCTCCTGTTTTCTGGCTGGGCTCCCTAGTCATCGGCAGGAGCTACATTCCTCAAAAGAGAGCTGACAGCCAGAGCAAGGAGGAAGGGAAAGAAACTGAGACTTGCAAAAATATATGTTTCTGGTTTTCAAAGTTTGCTCTCTATTCTGCTGTATGCAGGAGAATATTCCTCATTATAATGGAAGCCCAAGGCCAGATGGCCTGTGGAAGTCAGTGGACAAAGCCACAAGGCACTCGGGACTTGTGGCTATCAAGTTTTAAATCATCCCCTCATCTCACGAGGTAGAACTGACCTGCGTCCCATTTGTCACCCCCAACCTATTGTGGAACCTGTCTCACTGCCCTACATATATTTGATTTCAGTCTGTGTCTTCCTGAGAGGCAGTATTATATTGTGGTTGAAAGCAAAGACACCAGCCTAAGACTGCCGAGTTTTGAATTCTGGCTCCATCATTTCTTATCTGTGTGACCTCGGGCAAGTGTTTTAACTTCTCTGTGCCCCATTAGACTTATACATATAAAGGGAATAATAGTAATAAATAGATAATAATAAATCTACTTCACGGCAATATTGTGAAGATTAAATGAGTTAATGTATGTGAAGCACTTAGAAGAAAGCCTGATACAAACATAGCAAGTGCCATCCAAATATTTTCTTTTATTTCTTAGGAGTAGGGAACAGGTTTTAATCAATTTTTCTAATTCCAAAACCTCAGCACAATGCCTGGCACACAATATGTAACCCAGTTCTCAAAGACAAAGCTATCCTGTAGCTCTAAACAGTAAACACCTCAGGCAGGCTTTAATGGCAAAGCAAAATTACATGCTTCTGTAACTACAAAAAAATATATATATATATGTAAGGAACATAATACAAAAGAAAAAAGAAAATACCTAATTCGCTGTAACAGGAAACAGAATCTCATTAGGATCTGCTTTCTATCAAACTAAAATGTCCTAGTAACCAGTCTTTCAGAATCCCCTCCTGAAATACAGCAGCAGGCCAATTAATTAGTATGAAAGCTTAGTCAAAAGGACAATACTACCTGGAGAACTAAGCAATTCAGGCAGCCTCACAGCATTTAATTGAGCCACAGACCATAGAACAACTTTGTTTGGTAATTTAGAGCATACATTTCCACTGGAGCATGTTTTCTGATTCAGGTCTTCTTTGTGGTTGCTTTTCTGCTGGTCAAATGTGTCCTGAAAGAGTGGTGAAAACATCCTCTGCCCACACAGTGGGTACAACAGGGATAGACTATCAGGCTCTTGCCCACATTTATTAGAAAATTTGAGCCTATCTTCAGACACAAATACTGATTCATAGAACATTAGTGTTTCTACTCATTTTCCAGGAAACATTCAATAGACTAAGTAGGAAGCTGGAGGAGGGAAACCTTTGGTGTTCTGAGAGACCCTTAAACAATTTGACACCCAATCTGAATGTAATGCTGCTCATAGAAACCCAACATAGCAGAGATGAGCCATATTACAGAGCAGTTGCCCCTCTTTCTGCAAATTCTAGAGGCCTGGCTCTGGTGGATCAGGAGGGTCTAAGCTTTTAGCCCATCTGCACCTGCTGCACCTCAGCCTACATTGCTCTAAGTTCTCTCAAATATGAATCCCACATGGTACTGGCAAAACTGCTCTGGATTAGAGCACAGTCCATCCTGCCAAGATTCTGGAGGGATTAGTTAAGTGAGGCCATGGAGAAGGATTCCTTTGGGGAGAATCCACTCTTTCAGAAAAACACAAAAGCATTACTCTGTGTTGGGTGCCAATTGAAATTACATAATAGATAGCTATGACAAGGAATTAAGTAAAATTCATTAAACTCAGCACAGTATATCATAACACTGGAGGGAAAAGTAAATCCCTGATGTCCAGGCTAAACTAGCTTTTTTCAGAATTTATTGTCATCCTGATTTGGGCATGTCAGTGGGAAAGGGAAAGACTAAAGCATCACTGGGGTATCTCTCAAGGTAATTGACTACCTTGCAGGCTCATAAAGATAAAAGTCTGGCTCGCATTGTGCTCTCACCAAAGGGCTGCCATGCGTACCAGGAGCTCAGAATGAAAAGGTGTTCCCCTCCCAGTCTCTCAGGGGGTTTTGCTTCCACATCCCACTCTGTTTTCTCAAGAGCAATGTCTCCAAATGAGAATCATTTGGCAAATAAAATGAATATCAGGATTTGAACGTCTGATTTTAAAAGCTGCTTACATAGAAATCCACCCACCGTTTTGAAAAGGCATAAGATGCTTGAGGCTTATTCCCAGAACTAAATGATGAGATGGGCTTTGTGAGACTAAAAGGATAACAGACACCAAATAAAAAAAGCAGTACAAAAATGCCCCAACCTATGTATAGCCACCAGTTCATAAAAATATTTTTTTAAAAGAGAGACAAATTTAATGAAGGCACGGGAGAGTCTAAATTACTTTTGTCAAAAGTGAATTGAAATATACTTAGGTCACTCCATCTAAGTAATATGATTCTTCAGAATTTGATTTTTAAAAATTCTCAGTTTCATAAAGTACTTATAGGACTTATGTCAAAGTTATAAGGAGTTTGTTGTTTCGTTTGTTTTTTTATTAAGGACAGGTGGTGATGTTGGAAAATATGTAAAATGATTAATAATGAAACTACTGAGGCTTAAGCTAACCAATATTTATTGGGTGACTATAAGCTTCTTAGAACAAAACGTGAATCTATGGGGTGGGAACATGCATAACAAGTATATTACACATTAAATCAATACTCGTAAATCACTAGGTACCATGTAAGAATTATAACAAATGAGCATAGAATAATTTCTGCCTTTAAGTAGCTTAAAATATAGAAAGACAGTCATGTTATCATACAAAGCTTGATAAGATACCTGAAAGTCAGGAGGTTCTGTTAAAATTCTATGAGAGTAGAAGTAGGAGTGTGAGAATAGATCAAGGACATTTGAGCTAGCATAGACAGGATGGATAGAAAATAAAAGAGATGGGCCATGAGGAAGTGAACTAATGAGAAGGCAAAGGTGCAAAGGAAAAAACCCAAAGAATTTACAGAATGATTGTGAGCAGTCCAGTGGCTGCTCCAAGCTCAGGATGTCAGAAGTGGAATAAAAGAAGATAAGCCTGGAAAAATAATTGGAATTTTATTCTCTAGGAAATTGCCAAGGGGACTGGGAGATATATTAAAAGATATTTGTTTTTGCTTCTGTTTTGTAACAGGGTAGTGACACAATTAGAAAATGCTTTGGGGAAGAGATTAGATTGTAATGAAAATGAAGTAAGACTGATATGCCCATGATACCCCAGAGAGCAGCCCAGACCTGGGGCCTGCAGACAATTTCATGCTTCACCCTTTTTCTCAAGGATTGGAGAGGGAGCTCCTGCCTCCCAGCTGATCTTTTAACAGTTGCCATATTTTTGGGTAGAGGCCTTTCCACTCTTGGATAGGGGAAGACTGGGCTTCTTCACTCCACCAGGCAAGACTTCCCAGAGGAGTTAGACATTGCTTTGGCTCCTTGTGCTGGGATCTGTATTCAAATTGTGACAGCGTGAACTTTGGCAAGTTACCTGATCTCTCCATACCTCAGTTTTTTCCTCTCATGAAAAAAGCTTAGCACATTGGTTGGCTTATGGAAAAAAAAAAGCCATAACTAGCAGCTATGATTACAAAGAGTCATAAAAAATTGGTTCACTTTGGTTCTGTGAATATTCTTTTCAGTAAACCAATGTGTAGTCCACTTCATTTGATATGCAATCAAATAGATTTGCAGATAATCTAAGAAAAATCTCAGTACAAGCAAGTGCGGCATTAGCATTTTGAACTGTGATGCTAACAGAACAACAAAGCATGTTTAGGCAGCGGTGTCAATTGAATGGCTGAGCTTTGTACTTGTACATATTCCCCCATTAAAATACAGCAGCATGAGAAGTTACTATACTCTGTAAGCTCTTCCCTGAAAAGAGGAAAAACAACCGTGACTCATGGGCTGCTAGCTTATTCCACAAAAGGGGCCCTGGAACGATGCCTCTTTCTTTTACCCAAAATTACGTTTGCTACTGTTCTATAAGGTGATAAAGAAGCTCTAATTCTCATTGTTCTTGAGATTTATACTTGGAGTCATGTCAGAAACAGAGTAGAATGGATCATCTATCACCCTTCACCTTGCCTGGCAGTGCTGGCCTGAAGCAGAATCCTCAGATTTTTCTTTGTTGCCCCTCATCCCCTTTTACCTTTCATCTCGTCCCTCTGGCACACCACCTTGATGCGTACACTTTGCACATAGTCATCGTATTTTTTCCACTACATTTGTAGTCCAGGCTTCCTCTTGAATCCATCAGACAATGAAAATAATTGATCCCTGTTGTGTTCTTGGTAAAGGTCAGAGATACAATCATATCAGCCGACTTGATCTGCTTGACTACCGGCATTGTGATTTCTACCGAGGCAATTTAAAAGCGTTGTAAACTGTCAGACTTAAGACTGTAAGCTTGGCCAAGCACTCAACAAAGATCCCAAAGGCATCACATAAAATTGGGCAAGGAGCCCTGGTTACTACTTTTCAACATCTGGCCCTTTCTCTGAATCTTTCTAAAAGGACTGGAAATGCAAATTGAAGCAGGACTTTGTTTCCCTTGACATTATGTATTTAACCTAAAAAAAACCTTGATTTTAAGTTGATTTATTATGAATTTTGCCACTTAACCTGACAATTGACTGAAGGTGCTTCTCAAAATGTCTAGTTACTAATATGTAATTAATTTGTTTTGTTCTCCAGTTTAATCCTCTTTATTAAAAACTTTGAGGGAACAAAAAAAAAAGATTATTGTAATGGGCTTTCTGGTAGGTGCAGAAAAACAGCAGGGAAGATTGAGAAGTACAAGAAAAACACATCAGAAATAAAATAAAGTTTGGATTTAACACATAAAATTGGCAAGATATTCCAGAGAAAAAAGCATTAGGAATACAGCTATTCATCAAGAATGAAAAAATGATTAAAGTTGACAATCAAAAAAACACATAACACCTTTGTGGAGTTATAAGATGCTCAAAGAATGCTTTAGAATATATCGGTTCCTACTTCAGGTTTGTTTGTCTAAGAGGCATAAATGTTTAAATAATCCATAGGGATTGACAGTAGTAATAGTTCCAATGATCAAGAAGTCTAAAGAGAAATTCTGCAAAAGGAAATAGATACTATACACTGAGTACTTAAGAAAGAGAACAGAAACTAGCCTATGATGCTGCCTCTTGATAAGTTCATTTGTAGTCTAGTCTCCCTTACCTCTGTCTCCACAAACCTGGCTCACTGCAACAGCCTCAGAGCTTCCTCTACTTCTAGTCGTCCTCCACCTGATTTCCATAGTAATCTTTTAAAAATAGTACTGTCAGCCAGGTGCAGTGGGATTACATCTGTAATCCCAGCACTTTGGGAGGCTGAGATGGGAGGATCAGGAGTTCGAGACCAGCCTGGTCAACATGGTGAAACCCTGTCTCTACTAAAAATACAAAAATTACCTGGGCATGGTGGTAGGTGCCTGTAATCCCAGCTACTTGGGAGGCTGAGGCAGGAGAATTGCTTGAACCCGGGAGGCAGAAGTTGCAGTGAGCCAAGACCACACCACTGCACTCCAGCCTGGGCAACAGAGCGAGACTCCATCTTAAAAATAAATAAATAAATAAATAAAATAGTACTATCATTGTGGCAGTCTCCTGTTCAAGAACTACTTGCAACCCTCTAACTATATTTGATATTCTGCATGCTCTCCTACTCTGTACCCCTGTCCAGCCTTAGCTCAAACTCTTCCCAGCACAGACCTTCTGCTTGACTCTGGCCTCTCTTCTTACTCATAACCTGTAGACAGATGCCAGTCTAGTGCTTCTACCAACATAAGTCTACCTGGCTTTAGGTAAAACAAAAGGTTTACTGTAATTAAATGTTTCTCTGATTAAAGGAGGCAAAGGTTTCATGCCTGTGCTTTCCAATACAGCCCCCACTCATACTGGGTTTGTCACTTTTGAAACTTGGGCCTTCTAGTTACCTTAGACCATTCTTGTTCCACTTCTGCTTCTACAAAATAGTCTGCTGAATAAGGAAGAGTAGATAAAGAAGACAATTTTCTAAGGAAAGTCTGGCATTGGCTACTTTTTCCTGACAGTTCTCATTCTTAATTATTTTTTTTTCCTGGTTCCAGGCACCTTTCAGAAGTATATCCCTAATTTCTAAACTTTGTGTTTTCTCATTTCTCTTGAATATTTGCTTAATCTCTCTCTCCCTCATCTGATCTGCACTCCCTTCCCTTCTCTTTTCCTTTGCTTTAATATTCTCCTTTCCAACTTTTCCATCCTACTTTCTCCCCCCTTAATCCTGGGCCCTCTTGCTTTCTACTTTCAACTGTTCATGTCTGACAGCAGTGTGAGAACCCCAACTTAGAAAGAAGATGCTATTTACTTGTGCCTTTTAAATTGTCATATCAACAAAGGTTCTGTGTGCCAGACATTGCAGGTGCAGCGAGACCAGGCTGGCAGGTGATGCTAGAATGAGCAGTACATCCACAGGTCCAGAGGAAGGCCTGCCAAAAAATGACTCCGGATCCAAGTAGAGAATGCAGCTGTTGCCATCCAAAATATTAGATCAGGGAGAAACTGTCTTGGAGTCTTTTCAAAACTAGAAACTTGAATTAAAAAATAATATGGTGTTTTAAAAGTCACCATGTTTAAATCCACCTGGGAATCCACCTAACTCTTAGGAAACAGGCTATTGTAAGAAAAGAAAATGAACATTCCAACTGCTAAAAAAAATAAAGTTGTAAATTCTTCACATGCTATTGAGAATTAAATTACTATATAATTCCACTGCTGTTAAATATGTAATGTTAGTGTTCAACTATTGACCTCTCTGATGAGTTTAATGTTAGTGTAACTAACACATTGCTGATTTTCTCTAATCTAATATTTATCAAGTGCCTGTAAAGCATGAAGCTTTGTCCACTGAACCATTTCATATGAACAGCTATTTCAAACTTTGCAGCTCTAGGTATCCTATATTCACATCATATAATGTTTTGTATTGCACAAACATCTTAAGTTGGTGTAAAGAAAAAATGAAGACAGTTTGAAGGTCAGTTTCTTGAGTCTGTGCATGCATGTGGTGTATGTGTTTTTTATGTGCATGTTTTACCTCTGCCCTTCAAGTTTATGCCACTTGTGTTCAATTTCTGAGTCCACTCTGTACCTGTTTTTTAATACTTACCCACAGAGCAAATAATAACTACTAAGTGAAAAGTGATAGCAAAATCTCTTCAGTCTCCAGAGGAATTGAGATTTCCTCAAGATTGAGAGGACAGTAGGAAAACTCTTTACATGTGAATTTTATTTAAAAAATAACTTACACCAATGTTCAACACCATTTCTCATGGAAGGAATGATTGCAATGAGAAAAAGAAAAAAAACTGAATCTACATGTAACAGAAAGGAAAAAAAACAAACTGAATCTACATGTAACAGGCATCAAACTAGGTATCTTCACAAATATTGATTTATTAAAACTTCACAAGAACCCAGAACCACTGCAATGTCCCCATTTTTTCACACTTGAGGAAACTGAGAACCACGAAGGTTAAGCTCATGGAGAGAAATGAAAAATGATAGAGCCAAGATTTAAACCCAGGTGCCTGGGACACCACATCTCATACTCTTTCATTATACACATCTTTTGAATATGAATTTGCCTCAATTCCTCCTCTAGTAATGTCATATCGAATTGGTCTTGTGGAAGAAAAGTGACTTACGTAAATTACCTGAATTTTAATTTGAATCTTTTCCATAACTGAGAAATTCTGGTGAATATATAATATCTCCAGGAATCTCAATAGCAGTCCTTCTTGTTTTCTTTGTTCAGATACAGTTACTTTAAACTATGTAGGAACTTTTAGAAATCTACTTTAAAAAATATGGATATTTGAATTCTCATTTTGTTTTGTTATGTGGGTGACTAGAACATGCAGTAGCAATAAAACTTGTTTCATTTTTTTTTTGACACTAATTTTTTTTATTATACTTTAAGTTCTGGGATACATGTGCAGAACGTGCAGGTTTGTTACATAGGTATACATGTGCCATGGTGGTTTGCTTTACCCATCAACCTGTCATCTACATTAAGTATTTCTCCTAATGCTATCCCTCCCTTAGCCCTCCACCCGCTAACAGGCCCCGGGGTGTGATGTTCCCCTCCCTGTGTCCATGTGTTCTCATTGTTCAACTCCCACTTATGAGTGAGAACATGCGGTGTTTGGTTTTCTGTTCCTGTGTTAGCTTGCTGAGAATGATGGTTTCCAGCTTTATCCATGTCCCTGCAAAGGACATGAATTCATCCTTTTTTATGGCTGCATAGTATTCCATGGTGTATATGTACCACATTTTCTTTTTATTGCAGCACCGTTCACGATAGCAAAGACTTGGAACCAACCCAAAACTTGGTTTCTGACAGTGCCTTTTGTACTGAAATTGAAACATTTTTCTGTCCTTCAAGTTTATTGCTTACCATTCTCCAGAAACTGAAATGAAATTTTACTCAACTCTTTTTATATTGTTACAGCTTGATAGAATTTTAAAAGTTTCAACAATCCAATCACAATTCTTGCAGATGTGTCTCCCCAAGGGAGTTATTAGCTTCAACACTGGTGTACTTCCTGGGCAGGTGTGTGGCTTTGGCTTTCACAGTGTAGGTGTTTATTTTTAATTAAAGGCTTTTCCCTCAGGTCTTCTAGAAAATTTCTGTTGATAACAGTGGAATCTCTCTGTGTGGAATGGTTGAAAAAATGATTTATATCAACTTGGTTTTCTTATATGTCAAGGTGGTGTTATTGGTACAAGCAGAGCCAACTTGCAAAGGAACACGCTTCTCTTTTGTACTCCATACTTCCTTTCCCATGACATTCCATTTGTGTGTACACCCCCAACCCTCCCCCAACCCAATAAACCTGGTGTTTATTCCCTTTGTGTTCTATTTGCGTTATAAAAAGATAGCTAATGAAATAATTGGAGAGAAGGGTCCCTATCCTGAGGCTTTTTAATACAAGGACTTTTCAGGGGTGATCTCCTGAGAGCGTCCAGTTTTCTACCCAAAAGAATAGAAGTAATGGTAGAAATTTTAAAGCAATTGTAAAAGAAGATGGCAGCACATCACAGAATAAAGAGATAAGTTTGAAGTGTTAGAGTCTTGAGCTGCCTCACACATCACATCTCTAAGACAGTCACCTAAATAATACCTTCACATACAGGAGGCCCTAACACAACTTTCTTCCACTGGAAGAGAAGATGTGTATCTCAATAAAGGTAAAACAACCAAAAATGTGATTGTTTGGTTGTCAAAACAACCAAAAATCTCACTTTAGCACTTTTCATAGAACTCTGATCCAAGAGTGGAAGGAGGAGTCATTGCCTCCACACCTTCACAATTCAACAAGGACAGATTTAATTTCAGGTGTTACGGTTTTGCCCCAGACTTTCCTTTGCAATCACACCTATTTCACCTCCAGCCCACTAGTTACATGGCCCTATTTTATGCCTCATCCACACCTGCATGCCCATGGCACCAAAGAAAGCTTTAGCTAGGTGTCATGAGTATGACAAACCTGGACCAAGGCATTTGATCTTTGGCAAATGAATGCGTGCTTTTCTGTTCCCATAAACATCCTTGGCCCTACAGTTTCACCTCCACTACAGACAGGTGCCTAAATAGGCTGAGCCAGGGAAGCAGTCTCTCTGGCTTTCCGCTGGTTTTCCAATTGTGTTCATCACCGACTAAGGTGCTGCACTCTGCCACATCTCGTTTGCCGCCATATCACAGAATTGGCACACTGCGGTGATGTGAGTCAGTGTGTGGCACAGCCATTAGAGAATCACCTCTTCTCAGAAGTGTGCACAGCCTCTCAGTTGTGAGGAAAGGAGGATTGGATACCCACAAACATTGGATTTTCTTAGTGGAAGCTTGTGTTTTCACTGGTTACTGATGCACACACACCTCAGGACCAGAATTGTGGCACATCTGGCTGCAAGTAAGCCATTTCAGTTCAAGTTGCTAAGCTCAGAGGATTAATTGTGAGGCATACTAAAGGAGAGTGGTGGGGAGGGTTTGAGTCATCCTCATCATTAATATAACTGAGTGATTATAGACCCTTCCCTGGAGAAAATCAGACAGTAACCGGCCATTGAAATATAAAATAGAATTCTGAAGAAGCCTGGCACAAGATCTGTGCTTTGTAGCTAAGAATAGCAAGGTTAATTACAGAAGGGAGTGACAGAAACAGGAAAGCAGCCATCGCACAAAGGAGAAGTTGCTGCAGTGGTAGATCTAAAATAATTGGTAGCAGGAGCTGGTCTCAGAGTTGGCAAAACATTAACCCTTGAGGGATGGAGTTTGGAGCGGGGAGAAATTGAGACTGAGAGAGAGAGAGAGAGAGAAATAGAGAGAGAAACATACAAGCACAGGTCACTTGTGGTTTCAAATAAAGGATAGCTGCTTATCAACCCAAATCAGTTTCTAAGTCTTTAATTATATTTGTCAGTATATGACTAAGCCTCCTTGAATTCAGAATGTGTGATTTTACATACTCATATAATTCTATCACATAGTTTTTCTCTGGCAAACCCCAAATACAATAATAAAAGCAGAGTGTTTATGTCAAACAAATAAGTAAATACATTTTACCCTAGCTAATAAGTTTTCTAGCCATATGTCTATCATATATAGCAGTATCACAGACAGAATGAAACTACTTAAGAAAATAATAATTTTTAAAGATATGTTAGTGTTTCAGTTAACATGAAAATCTCTGAAACAAGTACATAAGGTCAACCTTTACTCAAAATAAGTTTTCTAGGCATCTAGTATTTTTTCCTTATAATTCTAGGCCAAAGATAATTACCTTTATCAGAATAATACCTGCTGTTCTATTTATATTCAGCTTTCGCTTTTAGTCATATCTGATTATATAGACAGAAAATTTGAGTTCAACCATTAAGATCAGCAGTGAGGAATAAAATATTTAAAACTGGAAATGGGTTTCTAAAGGAAGCTTTGTCATCCTTTTCCTAATGCTTCTTGGATTAATTTTTTGAGATTTTTTTCATTTGCTTTGCTGAGGAATAAAAGTGAGGGATAATTTAGCCCTGTATGTGCCCACCTTCATATAATTCTCGGAATTCCAATAATGCTCACTTTATTATTATTACTGTGATTATTATCATCATTATTATTAAGCATTACTTGAGCATGTACTATATGACAGCCATGTATTAGAGTATATAAACGCATGAATTATAACTTGTAGCTAAGTATGTTGATACTATTATTCCTATTTCAAAGAGGAGAGCACTAAGGTGAAAGGAGGTTTGGTAATTCACTGAAAATGTATAACAACCATTAATAAGCAGCAGAACTAGGATTCAAAGGTAGAATCTGTAGTTTTCCCAAAACACCTTGCTGTTTCTTATTTAAGCTTTTCATAATTATTACAAATTCTAACGCCCTTAGTATCATTAGCAGTAAGTAACTGCATTTATTTTTAATATTCAGAATTGGGTTACTCATAAAAACATTTTCTATATTCCTTAACCTGAAGCCCAGTTTAGGGAAACTGTCTGATTTTATATATATTGGGGTTTCTTCAATAAGGAGAGCCTGTGGCAGACCCTAACCTCATGGCAAATGAAGGGGTTCAGGATACACTACCCCCAAAATATGGTACATTGGCATATTAACTATTTTACACTAAAGGAATTTGATAAAGAGCACATGCAGGAAGGACTTGCTAACCTTCTCCCCACTCTTCTTCCCTGAAGCAGATCATAAAACCTAAGAAGGATTTTCTGACCTTGCCCTGAAACAAGTCATAAGACCCTCATGTGAGAGGTGCCCTCCCTATACCGAGAGGAAAGGAATATCCTTATCCCTGAAGATGAAGGGTCACAGAGAAAAATCTGAAAAAACAAGCCTTGCCAAGTTTTCTCTAGTTTATTACCATTAGATTATACTGTTTCCTGCCCTGTCAATTTCTCCCTGTCTACTTGTCATCAAACCTCGCATAAAAATCTATAGGTTTAACTATTTCTTTACATCTTAATTTCCTTATGAAGACTCCCATGTCTTGTAAAACTTATATTAAATACATCTGTATGCTTTTCTCTTTTTAAATTTTGTTTTAGATGCCTCAACCATGAACTTCCTCAGGACAGATAGAAAGATATTTTTTTTTCTTCTGCACAAACATTTCCTAGAGATAATGGGATGAATAATTACTATTAAGAAGTATAGTGAGGGGCTGCAAATTACCCCCCAGGTCATCCCAATTCTCCTTCCCTTATTTGGAAAATAATTGATATATAGGACAAAGAAAAGCATCCTGTATATTCTCCTTTCTCAGAGTTCCTGAACTAGATAAAGTAGCACTCAGCAGAATGCATTAGTTTGTATATGAATGCATTTGTTGATATATTTGTTTTATATGGCATTCCTTGTCTGTCCATTCTTACTTCCTTCCACTCCCCACCCCTTTTTCTGCTCTGCTCCAGGTCATAGGAAACTACATTTGTCAGACTCTGCTGCCTGTTGGCTTCTGGGCAGGTTCCACCAATGAGATCCACTGTAGGGAGATATGAGGGAGGAAGCAATGAGAAGTCAGAGTACTTCTCTCAACCTCTTTCTTTTTTTTTTTTATTATTACCATACTTTAAGTTTTAGGGTACATGTGCACAATGTGCAGGTTAGTTACATATGTATACATGTGCCATGCTGGTGCGCTGCACCCACTAACCCGTCATCTAGCATGAGGTACATCTCCCAATGCCATCCCTCCCCCGTCCCCCCACCCCACAACAGTCCGCAGAGTTTGATGTTCCCCTTCCTGTGTCCATGTGTTCTCAACCTCTTTCTATGCTTAGAGCAGCTGCATCTCCTCTGTGATTCTGGTTCCTGTTGGACTGCCCCTCCCTCCACTGTCACATTCCTACCTGGCAGCTCCCCACCATGGGTCTATCTCCTACTGCATGGCTCCAGCTGCTGGACTTTGGCCAACTTGTTCCAACATTTGCAGGCCCCAGGGGGCAAGGGGACAAAAGAAAGCCCATACATCTATGTCTCATGTTTAAAAGTTATAAATCAAATACAAATTGTTAAAAGTATTTTCGATTTTTTTTTCTATTTTGATAAACATTTTTATAATGACATTTAAAAAAATACCTTGCTTGGGAATCCATGAGACAAACACCCACTTTCTCTTACTTATTAAGGAGTGGAGGGGAGGGTAGAGGTTCTTATTTCCTAGACCCGAGGCTTGGCTACTCATTACCTTAGTCCTCTCTAAACACCTCTGTCTGGGAACTAAAAGGATTTTCTGAATGGGGACACTAGTTCAAACTAAGAATTCCCTGTCCACAAGTGCTTCCAATTTCACAACGTGGCGGGTGTTGACCCTTTACGTTTCTCAAAGAGAGCTAAGGCTGCAAGTCCAGGTTCAAATTTAGAATTTTCAGACTCAGGTTTCAGGCTTGTGGCCCATACCTATTCACTTTCTCTTGGCTCCATTTCGTTCTCTAAAGAGTCTTGACTGCATTCACATGGACACTACAGATCTTACATTCCAAGCCCTAGCTACTCCCTCCCCATTTGTAAACAGCTACAGCCTCTTGGCTACCTTGTGGCTCTGGGGTTCTGTGCTGATAAAGTGACGATAGACTCAGGGAAAGTGGATGAAGTCTGTCATCCACTTGGGTAGAGAAGGCCGGGGACCTACCCACCTGGAGCACAGTCTGGAAGGGGGTGGGGGGATGGGATCTGGGTGTTTATGTCTTCTTGACCCAGGAGTTTCTTCTGTCGGAAAGAACATAGACAGGAAGGAACAGAGTAGGATTTTTTAAAACGTGGAGCCCAGATCAGAGTTCCTCCTTTTCCAGGGGGGAGGGTAGCACAAATTTTGAGGGTCTGCCAAAAATGTTGGTGGTGGCATCTTCCTCCTATTGCTAATCTCTTGGATGTATCACTGTTCCCTCTTCGTCTCCTCAGCCTTCTCTTACTTGCTTAACAAATTCCTTATAATAAAATTCCATGCCTCAAAACACCTGGAGAGGTTTCTGTTTTCTTGACTGTATTCTGATTGATATAGCTTGTTTAATTTTTTTTTTAAGTGTTAGAATGCAGTGATGTTTTCTGTACATTGTACGTTGGATTTATCTGAACTAAAGAGAATAAGCTCTATTACAAAGATAGATTCAGAGGTATAAAATGTTTTCTGACAATCTGAATCTTTTTCTAACACATGCACATTTCATAAGTCATATTTCAAAAACTATTATATATTTAGCTGTACCTAAATTTGCATGTGGAGTTACAAGGTAAATAGGACAGATGGAGAAAAATAGAAGTGGAATATTTCAACATGCCAAGCAGAGGGGCAAGAAAGTGAAAGTGATTCAACTAAATGCTGTCTCTTACCTAATATAGAGCCTTTGATGGCAAGCTGCAGCCTTTGGGTTCTCTACAATTCGCTCCGACACTTCCCACATTGAATCTTTTTCACGTGTCATTCTACTAGGACAGTGCACTGTTAGCTCTTAAAATAAGACTTACACATATGGTACTTATATAATGAAGATAAAATCCGTGCAGTGGGGCTGGAAATGTTCACATTTGGTTTCTTGATAACGCTTGATGAGAGATACTGCCTGGGTTATATAACAATTCAATTCCTAGTTGTTTTTTTTGTTGTTGTTGTTTGTTTGTTTCCTGGAAGGTGAAACAGTTTGACATATATCTGAATACCAATCTTTGTCCCTTTTTGCTAATAAATAAGATTGTGTGTTTTGAAAATCCTGATTTCAGTGATAAAACTTATATTCCATATTTTCATATTCTATATCACCTTGTTCAATTCATCATGGATAACATCATTACTGAGAAAAATCAGGAATCTATTTGGTGACGTTCTGTCATTTCTGTTTCTGTGCCTTTGCTTATAACTCTCTCTCACTGCAGCAAGCCTGCTCTGACTGACCTGGTAGACACTGCCAACATTTGGCAACAGAGGGAAAGGGAAGGTAATCAACTTTACTGCCTGATGTTACTAAAAACCACAGCCAAGTTTCAATTATCCGTGTCAGTAGATTCGGTGATCTTTGAATCCATATCTAATATATAAATAACGAGGTAACAAGAGAAACAAACAATGGAGCTTCATTTGATCAAAAGTTGCTGTATTTTTTAGTCATGATTTCTAAAGTCATCATCATACTGCCTTCAATTGAAAAACCGATTCAAGCCTTAGGCTAGGACTATGGCTGGTGGAACTGAATCAAGGAACTTGGCCTTCATTTTTAGGTAAATGGGCATCCTGCTTCCCCTACCATTTCCATATTAAATTTTCTAACTGCCCCCACCCCACAATTCAGGAAGAGCAGCTGAAGGACCTGAGACTTCACACCATGAGGCCAGGCTGCCCAGGATATTGATGGAAAGCACAGAGAGCCTCCTCCAAGGGCTGAGAAGAAGGTCATACTATCTGGGAACAATAATGTTTTTATACCATAAACCCACCCAATAGAGGAAGGAGAGAGTGAGAGGTAACTGCACATGTCACTACCACCTCTACGCTGGTGATGCCTCATGCAAACACCAAGGGAGGAGATGCAGTTCCCACAACTCTTGCACCTGTGCTGTTAAAGATGTGCAGTAGTCTACCTTTACTTTTGACAGTCACTGAACCATTCTTAATGGAGTCAGAGAAGGAAAGTCAATAACCTGCAAACCATACAATCAACCTCACTGCCATGAATTGAAGAGGTGCTGGTTCATATTTGTCTCCAATTGTTTGTTGTCTTCCAAATGTTGACATTGCCTTCTTATTCACATAGCAGAACCAGACTAGAATATGTCTATGAATCAGGAAATCTTGTTGACTTGGGAGAGAACCTGAGAATATATATTCTACTTGGTGGACTAGTAACACTATATTTGCATATGAAGAGTGGTTTATAATGACTTCTAGCTTGTCTGTGGAGTTATGTTATCCTATTGCTTCTGTTGGCATTTAAACTAAACAATAAATTGTGTTTTACCAGTGACTCTCATCAAACATGGAACCTTTTATCATAATAGCCATATTAACTAAGTTGATGAATATCCAAAGTGAGATAGGCTTATTATTGTTAATAGCTGCAATAAGTACAATTGACAGAATTGCAGTATGAATTTCAAGGAGTTAAATAGACCCATGAAGGTTAATCACAGTGAAAAACTAGCTTGCATGGTGATTTCCTAGCTATGTTGCATTACAAACGAGAGGCTCAGCCATGTTTTCATCTCATTATTTTTACTCATTTTATCTTTGCTTTCTTATCCCACTTCTCCCTATCTCCCAAATGCATATTTCGGGACATGGCAATATTTTTCTAGTGTTAATATGAATTGATGTCTTCCTTAGAAATAATTAGAGCCCTACATGTCAGAAAATTATGAGACAGAGTGTCTTTCAGCTCAAGTAATGTTCCAACACAGGAGGCAAAGAAAACGCATTATCTGAAAATTACTCCGTATAAAGTGAATAGTCATGTTCTCACTTGAGTTCTTTGGAAACAGATGGCCATTCTCTTAGTAATAAAAATAATTCTCCTTACTTACCAAGCTTTTATTTCAAAATATATTCCTTTGAATTATGTCATGTTATCCTCATACCATGTCTATGAGGGAGATAGAGACCAAGACATGATAGTTCATAGAGCTCTCAGCAGAAAAGTATAAACCCAGTCTCCAAACTTGTCATCACCTCCCAGGGATCTCATGACATATCTCATTCCATACTAGGATTGAGACTGATCCATTTATGTATATTGCTTTTCTGCTTTTCTAGGAGGAAACTTGCTACTGCCTTTTAAACCAATGTAAAAGTGTATGTCAACAGAGTAAAATCAGAGTTTGGTTATGTTATAGGCTTATATTTCAGTTTTGCCACTTTGAAGCATTAGTTGGCCAAGTTCTCATCTTTCTCAGACTTTTACTCCAGGATAAATGCAGCCTAACTGATGCACAACTGCATCGATAATGGAAACTGCATAAGAGTTTGGTCAGCAACCTTTGGTGCTATGAGTTTCATCATTGCAGTGATAATGGAAGTCATGGTTGTTTCCAGTGAAGGTTGTTTGTTAATATGTGACATCAATAGAGCCAATATATATCAGCCCAATAAATGCTAAGGGATTCCACTATGTAAATGACTTTCTACTTTCTATTAGTTCCATACCACAGACCACTTAGAAAAAATTAAGGACACTTCTACTGATATCTCTCTCTCTCTCTCTCTCTCTCTCTTTCTCTCTCTCTCTCTCTCTCTCTATCTCTCTCTCTCTCTCTCTATATATATATATATATGCTTTGAGGAAGCCTTTTGATGTTAAGCTACTAAAAGTATCACATTTCTATCATTGAGCTATGAGGGAAGCAAAGGTGATAGCTCCAAGCTTTTCTTCCTCAGCAATAAAGTTGCTACAGCTGGGGATTTCGGTGGGGGAGGAGGAATATTGGTTGTCAAAGGTCTTAAATGAGAGGAGAACAAAAGATTTCCAAAAGATGGTTCATAAATCATACAATGTGAAATGAACGCAGAAAGAAGGGTGAATATGTTGGTAATTTGCAAGGTTTTTTTAAATGGAGAAGTAGCCAAGCAAATGAATACTAAAAAAGCACCTATAGTTGCACTCAAAATAGAAAATCCAATTTTGATTATGATACATGTTTTATATAAGAAAAATACATTTAAAATTGATCTCTCTCCAATTACATTTTTACATAGCTCATTTCTGCCATTCATTTTCTCCCTTACATAGAGAGAGAAAAAACTTGGCCTTACAAAGACAGAGCTGATGGTTTGAAATCCTACTCTACTATGTACTAAGTTTGTTTATTTTTGTTACTTGGCCTCTTGGAGTTTTCGTTCTCACATTATTCTTGAGTTATTATTAGAGTAACATAAAAACGCACATGCAGGCACTCAGTGGTACTAAATTACTTTTCCTTATAAAAGAAAAATTGCATGGAACACTTGTTAAAGATGGCAAGGAAGACTTTTCATCTAAATAGGGGAGAAGGACTATTGCAACAGGGGAGAGAGATTGAACGCAACTCTGCAGAAACAAAAAGTGAATGCTGAGGTGAGCCAATGGAACATTGCTGGTCATAGAGGGAGGTTGGTCAGTGTGATAGGCCATCTGTGTCTTGCTAACTGATAGACTCAGGCCCTCCCACAGAGACTAGAAATAGGGGAACTATCTTCTTTATTCTTTTTTTAAGTTTTAATTTTTACGTATATATAATAATTGTATATATTTTCTGGGGTACATGTGAATTCTACTCTTCTGGTTTTTGAAATATACAATAAATTATTGTTAACTATAATCACTCTGTTGTGCTACTGAACACTAAATCTTCTTCCTTCTAACTATATTTTTGGGCCATTAAGCATCTCCTCTTTATTACCCTCTCCGTATTAGCCTGCCCAGCATCTCGTAACCATCATTCTAATGTGTGTCTTCATGAGATCAATATTTTTAGCTCTCACATTTGAGTGAGAACATGTGATATTTGTTCTTTTGTGTCTGGCTTATTTCATTTACCATAATGTGCTCTAGTTCCATCTATGTTGTTGCAAATGATAGGACTTCATTCTTTTTTGTGGCTGGATCATATTCCATTTTGTATTAATATGACTTTTTAAACTATTCATCCATTGATGGATACTTAGGTTGATTCCATATTTTGGCTATAGTGAATAGTGCTGCAATAAATGTAAGAGCTCAGATATCTCTTCCATATACTGTTTTCCTTTCTTTTGAATATACACCCAGCAGTTGGATTGCTGGATCATATGGTAGTTCTATTTTTAGTTTTTTAAGGGGCCCCCATACTGTTCTCCACAGTGGCTGCACGAATTTACACTCCCAATAACACTTTAAGAAGATTCCCTTTCTCCACATCCTCACCAGCATTCATTATTGCCTGTCTTTTGGATAAAAGACATTTTAACTGGGGTGAGATGATATCTTATTGTAGTTTTGATATGTGTTTCTCTGATCATTAGTAATGTTGGGCAGATTTTCATACGCCTGTTGGCCATTTTTTATGGTTTCTTTTGAGAAATGTCTATTCACATCTTTTTTTTCACTTTAATTGGATTATCTTGTCTTTTGGGTTTTTTGTTTTGTTTAGTTTTTGTTTTTGTTTTTGCTATTGAGTTGTTTGAGTTCCTTATACATTCTGGTATGGGTAGTTGGCAAATATTTCCTCCCATTCTTTTGGGAGCTGTCTCTTCACTTTGTTAATTGTTTCCTTTACTTTAGAGAAGCTTTTTAGCTTGATGTTATCCCATTTGTCTATTTGCCCTTACTTACAGGGTGTTAAGAAATCTTTACAGGTCAAGAAATCTTTACCCAGAGCAATGTCCAGTAGTTCTATAGTTTCGGGTATTACATTTAAGTATTTGATCCATTTTAATTTGATTTTTGTTTATGGCAAGAGATAGGGGTCTAGTTTCATTCTTCTGCATATGGGTATCCAGTTTTCCCAGCACCATTAATTGAAGAAACTGTCCCTTCCCCATTGTATGTTCTTGGCAACTCCATCAAAAATGAGTTTACTCTAAATATATGGATTTATATCTAGCTTCTCTATTCTGTTTCATTAATCTATGTGTCTGTATTTATGTCAGTACTATGATATTTTGGTTACTATAGCTTTGTAGTGTCATTTAAAGTCAGGTAGCATGATACCTCCAGCTTTCTTCTTTTTGTTCAGATTTTTTTTGACTATTCTGAGTCTTTTGTGATTCCATTTAAATTTAAGGATTTCTTTTTCTATTTATATGAAGACTATCATTGGTATTTTAATAGGGATTGCATTGAATCTGTAGATTTATTTGAGTTGTGTGGACATATTAACAATATACCAAAAGTAGAGAAAGACTACAAAAAAAGGAAACTACAGACCAATGTCTCTGATGACTATAGATGCAAAAGTTCTCAAAAATACTAGTGAACTGAATTCAACAACACATTAAAAAATGATTCATCACAATCAAGTGAGATTCATTCCAGGGATACAAAGATGGTTTAACATACACAAATTAATAAATGTCATACATCACACAACAGGATGAATAACAAAAACTATATGATCATCTCAATAGATGCAGAGAAAACATTTAATGAAATTAAACATTCCGTAATGATAAACTCTCAATAAGCTGGATATAAAAGGAACATAGTCCAACACAATAAAGGCCATGTATGAAAAATTCACAGCCAGTATCATACTAAACAAGGGAAAACTAGAAGCATTTCCTCTAAGATCATGAAACAAACAAGTATGCCCACTTTTACAACTTTTATTCAAGATAGGACTGGAAGTCCTAGCAAGAGCAATCAAAAAAGGGAAATAAATAAAGGACTTCCAAATTGGAAATTAAGAAGTCAAATTATCCTTATTTGCAACAGATTATATCATCTTATATTTAGAAATATCTGAAGACTCCAAGAAACTATTAGAACTGATAAACAAATTTAGTACAGTTGCAGAATACAAAAGCAACATTAAAAACCAGCAGCATTTACATATGCTACTGGCAAACAATCTGAAAAAGAAGCTGAGAATGTAATACAATTTACAATAGCTACAAATATTAACAAAATGTCTAGGAATACACTTAAACAAAGAAGTGAAAAATCTCTACCATGAAAACTATAAAACATTGATGAAAGATATGGAAGAGGACACAAACATTGAGGAGATATTACATGTTCATGAATTGTCACTATCATGATGATTACATTTCAAAGTGATAAGATCCTTGAGAAGGACATTCTTGGTTTATAGAAGATTTACATTTCAATGGTGCAGAGATGTAGGAAGAGTTTATTTATAATTGTAAGTTTTCTAAAATACAATTGATTCTTGAACAACATGAGTTGGAACTGCACAGGTCCACTTATAAGTAGATTTTTTTCAATAAACATATCGGAAAAATTTATTAGAGAGTTGCAACAATTTGAGCAAACTTGAAGATGAGCCACCTAATCTACAGATATTGAAAGTATTAAGAAAAAGTTAGTTTTGTCATGAATTCACAAAATATATGTAGATATTAGTCTATGTTATCACCTCCTGCCATAAAATGTACACAAATCTATTATACAATTTTTAAATTTATCAAAACTTATGCATACAAACACAGATTATATTCACTGTCGAGAGAAATATAAGTATTCAGTATTAAATTCTAACTGCAAAAAGTTAACTGTATTACCTACTGTGCTACTGTAATAATTGCATAGCCACCTCCTGTTGCTGTTGCAGTGAGCTCAAGTGGTACTAGTATCTACTGAAAACAGAATGTGACTCTGATCATCTCAGAAAACTAGTTTTATCTCTCAAGTAAATTGCATATTGCATAAAAAAGTGATTTCTTATGGTTCTTGCATATTTTTCATCATGTTTAGTGCAATATTGTAAATCTTGAATAACACCATGGGACCCATACAAAGCACCACTAGTGATGCTAGGAGAATAAGAGAAAAGTTATGACATTACAAGAAAAATTGAATTTCTTGATATGTACCATAGATTGAGGTCTGTAACTGTGGTTGCCCACTATTTTAAGATAAATAAACCCAGTAATGACCATTGTAGAAAAAGAAAATAACTCATGAAACTGCTACTGTGACAATAGGCACCAAAAAAATCAGTTTTTCACAAAATATTTTTTAATCTCATAGTGAAAATTCAGCTTTTATGTAGATGCAGGATTTCTATAAGGAAAGCACATCTATGGACTCTAATATAATTCAAGAAAATGCAAAGTCATTGTATGACAACTAAAAGCAAAAAGAAGGTGAAGGATCTGAAGTTGAATAATTTAATGTAAGCAAAGAATGGTTTGATGCTTTTAGAAAGAGATTTAGCTTTAAAAAATGTCCAGATAATAGCAGAAGCAGCTTCTGCTGACCAAGAGGCAGCAAACAAGCTTTTGGAGACCATGAAAAAACTCCCTGAAGGAAAGAATATCTGCCTGAACAGGTTTTTAATGTAGATGAAAGTGTCCTATTCTGGAAAAACAAAATGCCATGAAGGATATATATTAGAAAGGAAAGGAAGCAAGCACTTTTTAAGTGCTCTAAGTGATAGGCTAATTCACCAGTATTGCAAATGCAGTTAGGTTTATGATCAGGACTGCCCTTTCTATAAAGCTGCTAATTTCCTAACTTTGAAGGGAAATTATAAACACCAGCTGCCGGTCTTTTGGTTCTGTAAGAAGAAGGCCTAGAGAATGAGAACATTTTTTTCTGGATTGGTTTCATTGGTGTTTTGTCCCCGAAGTCAGAAAGTACCTTGCCAGTAAGGGATTATCTTTTAAAATTCTCCTGATATTGAACAATGAACAATACCCCTGGCCATCCACAACTCCATGAGTTTAACACTGAAGGCATCAAAGTGGTCTGTTCATCCCCAAACATAACGTCTGTAATAAGCCTCTAGATGTAAGAGTCATAAAAATATTTAAAGCTATTACACACAGTACTCTATGGAAAGGATTTCAACATTACAGAAGAGAACCCTGTAGGAAAGGATTGTCGACTTTATGAAAGAGAACCCTGTAGAGAGAACATCGTGAAAGTGTGGAAGGATTACGCTATTGAAGATGCCATCATTTTTATAGAAAAATCCTTGAAAACCATTAAGCTCTAAACAATAAACTCCTGCTGGAGAAAACTGTGTCCATATATTGCACATGTCTTCACAAGTCTTCACAGGATTTATGACAGAGCGAATCAAGGAAATCATGAAAGAGACTGGATGTGGCAAAACAGGTGGAGAGTGAAGAATTTCAAGATATGGATCTTGGAGAAATTTCAGAGCTGATAGACACCACTCCAGAGGAATTACATAAGACAACTTGATGGAGATGAGTGCTTCCAAACCAGTGCCAGACAATGAGGAAGAGGACGTAGAAGCAGTGCCAGAAAACAAATTGACATTAGACAATAATTGATATTATTTTCACAATTTTGCCAGACTGAATGTAGCAGTTAATAGTACAAAACTTGGCAGAAAGTTTCGATTATTCCACACTGCTTTTGGCTTCTTTTACAACATGGATCCTTATATGAGATGAACACTGAAACTAAAGCAAATGGTGGAAGAAAAACTGGTGCTGTATAGGAACATTTTTAGAGAAATAAAAAAGCGAAAAAAATCAGACAGAAATTATGATGCATGTCCCTAAAGTTACACCGAGTGTGCCTGCCTCTCCTGCCTCTCCTTCCACCTCGTCTGCCTCTTCCATCTTGGCCACCCCTTACACAGCAAGACTAACCCCTCTTCTTTCTCCTCCTCAGCCTACTCAACAGGAAGACAACAAGGATGAAGACCTTTATGATGAGACACTTCCACTTCAAAGTTTTTCAGGCTGAAGGGAAAGTAAAGCCATCTTGGTCACCCTTCCTCTTGCTGGCTATGTCCTGCATTCCCGCACATTCAGCAATTTTTTTCCTGACAGTTTTGGCATCTATTAAGTTCTTTGCACATCATCCAGTCCCTTTAGAGTCCGCCTAATCTGAAACTTAAAAAAAAAATTTTTTGCTCATTTTTACTCTATGTCTTCTCTCCTACACAATCACAGATATTATTTAAAAATTGTGCATAAAACTGACCTATCTCTAAAGAATTCTGTTTTCAGTGGAATGTCTGGGGAAAGTGACTTTTATTTCTTAAGAGTTAGGGATTTGGTTTAGTAATTAAATAGGATTTCATGTGTAGCATAATAGTAATCACCTTCTGTGAAGTATGATTCTTCTCTGAAAGATATTTTCCTTGACCACAGAGTGCTTTCTAGAACTCGAAGCCTCTTTATTCAAATAATAGCTCTCAAGGATCCAAGTCTATTATAAGACCACCTTATACTTTTAATTGCTTTCATCATTTCTTTCTCTTTTTCTTCTTCCAATAATCTTATTCTAAGCAAAAATTTCAACCAAAATACAAGGGTTTTTTTTAAAAAAAAGAGGTTATATAATTATTTTCTAATTTCCAAGTTGAACAAAATTTTTATCACTCTTGGTTTATAACTGACTAGTAAAGAAACTCAGACTTTTTAAATATTTGGGTTGCTGATATTGCAGGTTTTCCCCTAAAAATTATATTGAGTGAATAATTAAATCATCATGGAAAACTCCGTTTGTTTCCTACAGCCTTAGAATTAAGACAAAAATATAACATCCATATGACCTGAATACATTCAATAAGTTCAAGTCCCTGATTCTAGGACTTTGAAGACTTGCAGAGAAACATAAATTTAAAAGTTCTCTCCTTTCCTGTATATTTCTCAAAGTCTGCCTACTAGTAGTAAGAATATAGTAAAATTAGAATCCTAATTAAAATGTAACTACATAGCTTAGATGCTGCAATTTTCTGTCTTCTTTATGTTTTAATTTTAGTTAGCTACATTAAGCATAAGTAAGTCATCCTTTTGCTTCTTTGACAGTTATATTTTGTCAGTCTCTGTATGTCAAAGTTATATGTCCAATTGTTTCTTCTACTGCTCTGTTTTTGCCATATTGTATGCAGTAGTTAACAGTATAGAACTTGGTGATAGATTATATTCTTGACTCCTTCTCTGACTTGTGTCTTCAGAGACATAACCTTTCTTTTCTCAGTTTATCTGTCTCTAGAGTAATGGTAGTTATTTCTATTGGCATTCTTTGTTTTCAAGGGAGGTACTAGTGTTTCTATTTTCTAAATGGTTTGCAAGCAAAGGTTTCTGGCTAATAGCATTTTCTGGTCTCCAAATCTGTGGTGCACCATTAATGAATCTGTAATTTTCAAACATTTAGGATGAAGTTTAGAGTCATATAAGAATATGGACTAAGGAGCTCAACATGTCTGAGTGTGAATCTCAGCATGGCTCATTACATTTTACGGGACCATGAATATGTTACTCTATTTGAGCCTCACTTTCTTCCCCTATATATAGTAATAATAACACATGGTAGTTCTTCCTAGAAGGACTATTGTGAAGGCTAGAAATAATACAGGTAACACTGTTAGCACAGTGCCTGGCAGATGGCAGCCACTTAAAACAAATAGGAATTTTATTATTGAAAATGTAATTTTCCTGAATTATACTAATCCTAAATATACTTAAGCAGATTTACTTAACACAAAGTTAATTCTTCTGATTCTGTTAATCATATGGTGTTCAAATTGTTACAGTGCCACAAAGCTGTTATTACTCACAGTGATTATTATTGTGTGACAAAATATACTTTTTTGGCTAATAGAGATTGTTGATTTATACAGTGTGGATTATTTCTTTGTTGGAATCATGAGATAATTTTTCATTATATTAAGTTGCCACCCATCTGCTATGAAGGAGATAATCCTGACTTACTTTGAATATTTTTTCTAGGATTAAGATTAGATTTATACCCTTCTGCATGTAAGTCCCTTCACACTTATTCTGGGACCAATTAAGAGTAGTATATCTGAGTTCTTGGTGGGGAGTGGGGGAGAAAAAACACAGTGAAAGCAAAGAGTCAACACAGGGACCAGACCTACAGCCATGGTGACGTTTGTGGAGCTCTAGCTCAATAGGCTACCTGGACTCAGGCTCATGGAAATAATCCACACTGGGCTCTTTTTGTGACCACAGAGCCTTCTCTTACTGTTTAAGCCCTCGAATATTCTATTATCATTGATTCTAAGTGCAATCAATCTTCCATATACATATGTTATGCATTCATGGATTAACAAACTGAAGATTAAAAATACCCCTGGGAAAAATATTCTGCAATGTTCCAAAAACCAAAACTTGAATTTACCATGCATAGAATACTAGGTTGAATCCAGGTGAATTAAGTGATGTGTAGGCATTGTATTATATATTGTAAGTAATCTAAAGATGATTTAAAGTACATGGAAGGATGTGCATAGATTATATGCAAATACTATGCCATTTTATATAAGGGAGTTGAGCATCCCTGGATTTGGGTACCCATGAGGGTTCAGTAACCAATCCTTCATGGGTGGGGGGAAGCAACTGTATATGTGGTGTTGGGGTGAGATGGGAGTTAGTAAGTTACTACAAATTTTCTCTTATACTGTAGAAATTTAGAACATGTCAACAAATAACGCATCACCATCATAAAATTATCAACATAAGCCCAATGTTGTCACGATATATTGCCATATAACATGTAACTTCTTAAAAATCAAGACCACTAACATTTTTCTCTTGTTTTGCCTTTAATTCAAAGTCTTCAATCTCTGTCATACATAGCATAATGTGTTGCCTCTTCTCATTAATAGAAAAAATAAGAAAACTTCCTAAATCATGGATTCATTAAGTTGATAACCTATGTACTAGGCACAATAACACATAGAGAAATAAACTGGAAATAGATCTTTCTTGGGAAGCTTACATAAAGGGAGATAAGCCAGGTACATCAATAACTATAAATACTGCAATACAAAGATAGAAAGTGCACATTTAGCCAGCAGTTTACTCATTTGCTTAGCAAGTAAGTGTTTTTATTTCTGACTACAGGTCATACTCACTACCTAATTCTGAGATTACAATGAACAGTGACCACAATAATGGCAAATGGAAAGTCTGCCTTTAGTATTTAATTCCTAATTTGTATGTGGTGGGGAGTGAGGAGTGTGGACAAACAATTTAAAAAACTGTGATAATACAGTGTGAAATGTACTAATGGTATTTATGGGAGAGGACAGGGCCCATTGGAACATGAAAAGGTGTATCACAGATTTAAGAGAGCAAGCAAGATTTCTCAGTGTATTTCATCATATTTGTTCCTATTTACCTTGAGATCATAGCCTCTTATTATAGCCCCTAACACATTGCATTGCAATTCCTGCAATGCCTGGTTTACATGCCTGCTACACCCTTACTCTCCCCTCTCTGTGTTTTGTGCCCAATACGTTATAGTAGCTTCATTTATAAAAATAGCTTTTTTTTTTGCTTCCAACAACTTTCTTGCTTTCTCAATTATGCTTATATTCTAGTTTCAAACTAGAGTAAGAAGTACAGTTGCATTGCATTCTCAGTAACTGCTCCTTTTCGTTGACTGTTTTATTTGACTCTAAAAATCTACCTGATGTCATTGTCTTCTATAAAGTTATAGTATTAAAGAACCAACCACATTGCAACCGACTTAAAGAATGTGTTGTAGTTAAATTTCTTATGTATTTCAGAATCACATTTATGCCACATGCTGTATTTTAAGCAAAGATAATTATTTCTATGTTTACGTGTTCCACATTAAATATAAATCAGGTTAGAATATGAAATTTCACAGTCTCTGGCTTTTGACTAATTTCAATATTGGTACATTTTGAGTTCTTGCAATATCTTATTTGAAATAACAAACAAGGAAAAGTTTCATTATAAGCATAGCTCCTATATTTCTTTTCTTCACCTTTCTGTGACACTTTTGGAAATTCTGGGCTTGACCAGGTCTTGTCTTGATTTACCTGTTTCTCTGTATTCCTTTCAAATATCTCTTCTTCTTTTTATTTTTTCAGTTTTAAAAATTTGTACTACAAAAGGTAGGACTTTTTTTTTCTCCTGAGCCCTCCCATGTCTTGGGTTCAAGATCTTTAATGAAGACACCAGAAGAATCACATGTCTAGTTATCTAGTTTACTGCAGTAGCCTAGGCTGACTGGGCATCTCTGTGGAAGAATTAGGCAAATGGCTAAAGGGTGTGACTGGCACAAATGTGACTCCATCTTTTCCACAGAGTCCCCATTCTCATATAAATGGATGAGGTGGTTCGATTCAAGTTATGTATTAAATGTAAAACTCAAGAGTAAATTCTGGTGACAATGTTATACCTAGACAACATGAAGCCTAGGAATCTAGACATGAATATGCCAGAAAGGCAGCAAAGAAAAAGGTGAGAATTTTGTTAGTAAGAAGTTTTAGATGTCTAAGATCTGCTCCAGCTTAAGAATTTGAGAAGATATAGACTTTTTTCAATTTAAGCAGATCCACTAAGACCATTTGGTATAAAACAAAGGAAATGAGACCTGGAATAAATCAAACTGCGTGAGTTTGAGTCCTGGCTCTGCCTCTACAGAGTGACTTTGGGAAGGTTATCTAGTCTCACTGGACATGTTTTATTCATAGTGAAATCTAAATAATAGTAATTACACTTACCTTTCCTGTTTAGCACAAGGATCAAATGAGGTACTAGGTATTAAATACTATGTAAAATCCACCACAGTTTACAAATATCGTTTATTGCTAAGTTAAGGGAGATATGGAGGAATTGAGGAAGATATGGTTCAGAGTTCATTAAATGAAGTATAAATATTTGGATTAATTTCAGAGCAGGGAAATCAATATAATTTATTCCAGTTGGTTCGTACTTTGCATTTCCTAAGCACAGCATATGATAGTTTATCAACTAAAAGCATAATAATATGTGTCTGTCTTCTGTGTATTAATACCAAAGGTAATATTTAGGTTTAATTTTGACTGTTAGTTGTAGGAAAATGCGAAAGAAGAGTAACATAGAAAAGATAAAAGAGTGGTAAAGAAAAAATAAAGGTTTATTTCATTCTCACATAAATGTGGGTAGCTCCTGATCATTAGGAACTAATTTCCTTCTAACTGATTTTTTTTTCTGCCATACTAAATTTTCAATGTCTACCTCAAGATTCAAGATGGCTGCTCCTGCTCCAGCCATCGTGTAAACATTCCAGCTGACAACAAGGAGGAAAATAGAAAAAGAATATTATCCAAAGTTTTACACACTATTCTTGCTTACCTTTCATTGGCAGGAACTTAATCATATGACCTCAGCTAAAACCAAAGTTGGGAAATCCATTCTTTATTCTGGTGCCCCATGTGCCAACATCATATTTGTTACAGTTCTGTTATGAGAACAAGGAAAGAACAAATATTGAGGGAAGCCAGTCATCTCCACAACAACAGTGATTGGTGAACTCCCCTCACTTAATTACCAGTAAGCAAGAGCATGTATATTGAAACAAAATTCCCATTGATATTATTTATAACAGAGTTATTTTCTTTTCACACAACAAATATTTATTGGATAAAACCTACATGTCAGATATTCCACTGGACCTAAAAGAAGGAAACAATTTTCTTCTTAGAAGCTATATTCTGCGAGATAAGAATAAAAATGAGAATTTTCAACAGATAATGTGATGATACAAGACAAAGTGATTTTGAATTCATGGGAGAAAAAAGTAAGTGTTGTATTATTATGAGATGCAATCCTTATTTGCCGTAGTCATGCATTAAATTGCATCCTAGAACCCTGGAAGAATGCATCTTCCTCTCAAAGTGCTTCATTTATTACAAGGGAATATTTCATGCATTGAGAGGCTGTAATTGAGAACTGAATGTGAATCATAATCTGATTTCTCTTTGAAATATACACTTAGTATATTCAAGCTGAATTGAATAAGATAGATAAGTAGGGCTTAGACAAAGACAGATATTATTTATATAATATTAACTTGATTTTAAAGTATTCAGTTATTTATATGGTATTTGGTTCATTTGAATCAAGTAGATTATGTATCAAGGGTTCTCTTCCCTGTGGAATTCTGGCATTAATGCATGTGGTCATAGAGGGAGGACAATTTGTTAGACGTAATTGAATTCTCTTTCTTCTCTCTTTCTTGCTCCAATACTAACTTTGACTACTGCCACGCTTCACCTCTGAAGGCAAAAATGTGTGGAAAAGAAGATAAGTAGGCAAGGCTGGAGGTGGGGTGAGAAGAATAATTTTCATCCACTTTAAATGAAGGGAATAAAATTATAGCTCTCCAGAGAAGACCCAAAAACACATTTCCCTTCCTTCTCCACCCTTCCCCACCCTGTCTTCCTCAACCTTGGCCCAGATCTCTCCTTCTTCCTCTACACAACTTTTATGTTTGTGGGTAAAAATGAAGGGAGTTTCTCAGCTCATCCACATTACTTTAAACTGTATAATTTAAACTCACGACATAAGAATAAAACACTATACTTAAAATATTTGGTAAGATCTATTTTTGACTTAATAGTCTTTCGGATTTTGCTTCTCTTTTCTTGTTGGCACTTTTTTCCTCTTCTGGTTTCAAATGAAAATTTAAATATGATAAGACGAAATGGTATAATGCATGACATTTCATACTGAAGCCAAAGGAGCTTAATAATAAATCCTTGGCTCAACCCAGAAAGACAGATTCAGCTGTCACCATTTCTAAACAAAGTTAGAGGTTATTGTGTAATATACTGCTAATTTTTCATGCTGTGAAAATTAAGTAAAATGGTGTTTGACTTACTTCCTGTTTTCAATCAACTTTATGGTAGTCCCTTTTAGGACTCAGATTTAGAAATGAGGTATAGTAATAAAATTTAGCTACATTCTGGGCTGACAAAAGGAATTGGTAATTTTAGAATGTTTTAAACATATAAAACATAACAGCAATGTAAATTCAAAATTGGAAGTGTTCTTATTATCTTCTTGGCCTTGCTTATTCCAGTAATCCATTCTAAACACAGGTGTATGCCATAATTTCCGGTAGATGTTTTTATACTTACATAACTTTAAAAATGTTCCTGTGAAATGTTTATAACTTGCCTGATGTAGGATTTTCTTACATTGGATACTCAGTATTTTGACCCTGAATTTCTCAATGACAAAAGCTGTAAGGAAACCATGGTAAAGAAAAAGACCTCCTAGAGTTTTTCTGGACTGAGCTATTTTTTTCCAATAGATAAATATCTTCCAAAAATGTATTTATAGTCATTACTTATAAAAGTAATATTACTAGAAATAGTTGGTTTTGCCATCTGTAATTTCGGCCCAATATAGACTAAAGTACCCTGACCATAGTTATTTTTCCCACATGCTGAGAAACTGAGAAACTAACCTGGTAGGGTTCCAAACTTTCAAAGGTAATTGTCTATTAAAACAATAACAGGTAGCTTGAGACGTATCTTCAATCTTGCTTCAGAATAAGGGATTTGCTACAATGTGATTTCAGTATTTCTTAACCAGTGGACTGAAATTTTTATTTGCTTCTCGCAATAGCATGAATTGCTTCCATAGAGCTACTTTGTCTATTCTTATGTTACAAGGAGTGTGTCACAAGAAGTCAAACAGGGAAGGAGATGAAACCATAAAATGGGATGGTGCATTCAAAGAAGAACCAAGAGAAAACCCCAAACAGAAAAACAGCAAAACCAGTATTTCTGTATCGTTGCAGAGGACTGGAATATGTGGTTTCAGAGTTGGAAGGGAGTCTGTGGTATAGGTCATCTGTTTTTCCGATGGTAATGAGCTGGTAAAAATACACGGTCACTTAGCTAACAGAGGCTTCAATGCTTCTTAGCAATTCCACATTATCTAGCTCTTTAATTCTTGGCAAAGAGAATTTCCAGTCTGCTCACAGGTACTCAAACCTCTGATCTCCCTAGGACATCTTTAACTTTTGCATCTGACCCAACTGTTATTCCAAAAAGAATGTAGTAGCCATAACAGACTGAGATTATCTCACCTTCCTACCATAAAATATGCTAATTTATTTACATCAACACCCAGTTTTTCTTCCTTTCTACCTGTTTCAAATCAAGAGGGGACCCTTCTTTTTATTAAATTTCAGTCCTTCTCATGTGCTTTAGATTTCATTTCCATACGACATCTCCAAAACTTGATGCAATCAATTGTCTCTCACTCCTGATTCATCAATTTCTCCATGTGATTCTTCTTTTAGTATTTAGACATGTTTTAATATTTCCCATTGTAAAAAACTCATACCTACATCCTCTTTTGCAGCTTTAATTTTAAGATACTGATAACTACTGCTCATAATTATTGAGAACTTAGTATATGCCAGACATATTCTATGACCTTTCTTTTATCAACTTCTTTAGAGAAAGGTGAGGGGAGCTCACTAGGAGCATGCCTACCTGTGGAGCTTCCATTTCACTTCTGCCAATGGAAGTGGAGCCAGCAGAGGGCTGACTCCCCACAGGAATCTCACTCTTTCCCTGATAATCTGGGAAAGAGTGAGCGATGGCACCAACTAGGATCATGAAAATGGAGAAGTGAGTGGAGTTTCTATATCATTATTAGATGCAATCAAATAGGAATTGGTGATTGACTGGATGTGAGGGAAATACAAGGATGATGTCCAAGTTCCTGGTGGGAATGATAATGTTCTTTCACTGATAGCAAACACAGAAGGAAGAACTTCCTTAAGGAGAAAGGCAGAGTTCATTTTTGGAGATAGTAGGCTTGAAATATCTGAGGTTGGATAGCTCAGAGATAGGCAAATAGGGATTTGAAATATAAGCACAGATGGAATCAACCAATCTCAGGGTTGATTGGTACTTTTTTATAGAAGTCCTTTGAAATCTCCATGAATTGTCACACCTAGAATTCCGTAACAGGTCCAGTGGTGTCATTTAGTGTAATTCAGTTGTAGTGGTTGTTTAAAAAAGGAGGCATTTTTCTCTTAGGTATGTAGAGAGGTCTGAGGACAGGATTAAATGATAGCCTGCCTTCTTCCTGCACCCCACCATGGCAGCATTACTTTGTTTTTGCTTAAAAAAATACATTTTATTGTTCAAAAGTTCATCCTAAATATTAATTATCTGATATCATTTTCATAGCAGGTTCTATAAAGAAGTATATTAGTTCTAATATCATTATAGATTACACACATGAATGCATAGCAGAATGTTCCATGTGTGTTATTCTTTTGAGAACTTTAGGAACTGCCTAAGTCTAGATAAATTACTGTAACGGGTTGAGAATATGTATGAATTGTTATTGTTGTTAATACTTTTGAGATTTGCCAAGAACTAAACACTTTACACTTATTATAAGCAATTTTTATAGTAATCCTACATTGTAGGTATTTTTCATTCCCATCTTACAAATGAAAGATTGAGGGTGTGAAAAGTTTGATAATTTGCACAAGGTCACACATTTGGTAGCTTTAGTTACCAGCAGTCAGTCCATGACTGTCTGAATTGCTTATTCTAAATCCTGGATGCACATTAGAATCACCTGAGGCACCTTAGCAATTCTATGCTTGGGCTTCGCCCTAGACAGATTACATCAGAATCTCAGGGAATAGCACTAATAGATCCATAGTTGTTAGAGCACCCCAGGTGATACCAATGTGCAGCCAACGTTGGGAAATACTAGCTTGACTCAAAAACCTATGATCTTTTTATACCAGGATGCCCCTAAATCAAAAATTGTTTTCATTCCACATTGAAATAGTTCTGTTATACCAACAAGACCATTGATCAAACATGATAAACAGAATAAATAAATGTCTTCTTGATAGGAAAGCATTATCCTCTTCTGCCTTCAAAGTTATACAAGAAATATTTTCAAGGCCTAGGAATCTCAGCATCAGGGCTGCAAGATTTTGTTTGCTTTGCTTGTTGCAAGTTGAAAGCAATTTTATATTTGCATTATTATTATCCTTGGTTTTGAGTGCCTATATATGGTGCTTGCAAGCTGGGAAAGGATATCTAAACACACCTGAGGGCACAAACCTACTGAAAAAGGATTTCCTCTACAGATAAAGAACATAGTGTAAATCAGTTTCTATCTTACAGTTTACAACATGGTTTTTACCCTTTGCTTATTTATTTAAATTGACAGATAAAATTGTATGTATTTATCATGTACAACATGATGTTTTGAAATACATATACATTGTAGAATGGTTACATCTAGCCAATTAACATAGGCATTACCTCACATAGTTATCATTTCTGTGGTGAGAACATTTAACACTTTACTCTGGTCTCTCCAGACATCTAAGAGAAAATGCTTCCTTTTTATGAACAACCACTGTCTTAGCATTTTGAAGTTTCTAAATTATTAGTAAAGCTTTCGTTGAATTCTTGGCCTTATTTAACAAGTGACTTAATTATATTTCATTTTGAATAAAATTGTTATTTTTTTAAGCCTGGAGATAACAGTATATAATGAAGCATCTGCTGTGTATGATGTACAAGTGTTTGAATTCCCACAGCTCACATTTCAAAAAATCAGATTTTCCTGTTATGTGTGACAAACTTTCCAAGATCTTCAAATTATGAACATGTTTTCCACTAGATGACATCTGTGGAACAGATTTTTTTCTCTGCTGACATATATCTAACACTTTCTTTCTTTTTAATAGTGATGCTTTATATGAATATGAAATTATAAAAATTTAGCAAATGATAGTTATTGTTTGAGATACTCACATTTAGAAATTGCTTTTATTGCTCCCTCATTCATCAGTCATTTTGTATCTCACATAACTTTATATTGACAGTTTCTTCTGTTCAGAGTTAGTCTTGTAACAGATATTTTAATTATGTAGAAAATAACCTGCTTCAAAATTTTCACAAATTGAAGGTTGTGTAAAGGGTTGAAGAGATGATGTTTCCTCATCATAACCTTGTGCCATACCTTGTAAGCAAGTACTGTAACTTGTATTTAATGATGAACCAAGAGTTTTCAAGAAAGAACTAAAATCCATCATATCTTTTCTACTGATATTTTCCATAACATCCAAGGGAAAGAAAGCATGGGCCAAGTACTTGGGTCTATGAGAGAGGTTTTTCAGCTGTTTACAAATGACACTGCTGTCAATGTAGCATGTCATAGCAGCTGTGGAAAAAGGGAGGTTAGGTGAAGTGATAATAACAAAAGGCTTCTGATTCTATTTTTATTGCCACCAAATTTTTCATTTAATTTTATGAAATGAACCTTGTCTTCACAATGCCTATTGGTTTTAGTGACTCATTTCATTAGTTGAGGTGCTTTATCCAGGTAACCTCAATTTGCACGTGTTGATGGAGTTTATATAACCAAAAATATATTTGGAAATGGTTTTGGAAATGGTGCATTTCTCTGTTTTAGTTGGTGGTGATTTGAACAATAAAGGCTCATGATTTAATATAATTTTTGTTTATTTATTATAACATCTATTTATTTGTCACACACATACTTTTTATTTGAAAAAGAATAACAGTACTGTTAAAGAATATGGATAGTCATTAGAAAATTAATATTAGAAAATGAGAACCCTTTAAAGCACAAGGCAACATGTTATAGTGGAAAGAGCACATGTGCTTCTTTATTTGCTGAGTGTATAACTTCAGACAAGTTATTTAAACTCTCTGAGCTTCATTTTCTCCTTTGTAAAATATTTCCTCTACAGCATTGCTTCAAAATTAACGTTTAAGCAGAGTAGGTGCTTATAAGTTAGTTTTCTCATCATGTTTTAAGATGCAGTCAAACATCTTCAAATGTGCTTATTTTGCCAAATAAAAACTATCATTTATCAAGCACTTACTATGTGTAAAGTTATGTATTACCTTTGTGCAAATCCCTGTTTTAGCCATTATCTTATTTCATCTTCATAATAATTTATTTTTAGTCTGCAAGAACTGTGGTCTTCTGAATAATGTAAATATGCAGTTATTAGTGCAGCTTTTAAAGAACTGCCTTTGAAATCACTGTGGTCGTCACCAAAATTTCTTTCCATAGCATAATTAATGAGTAAGCAGTTACCGGTGTGTCCAGAATTATATTGTAAATGCCTTGTACATATTTTATTCCATGTGAATAGCAAGATATATGTATTCTTAATTTATTTATTATAGGCAAATCAGGATGTGAATTGATGAAATTATCTAAACAAATAATAATTGCTTTATATGTAGGAATTAGTTTAGTTTGTCTTATATTGTTGAAATGTTACTATAATTGCAAATAATTATTGATTTCTTCATAAATACTGTAATTACAGTGTGCAAATATTGATACTCTTTAAGGGTTTCTAAATAGTATACTGAAGTGCTTCGCTTCAGTATTCTGTTTTTCATTTTTTCTAGCAATAGCACAATTCTCTATATTTTATATCCCATTAATTTTTTTATATAATCTTTCTGTCATAACAAACATGTTCTCTTTTGCTTTTTGAAAAACTTACAAGATGTGTATCTAATACTGCTTATTTTTAAGATGCTAACACCTTTAGCTCATTTATTTGAGTGTTGGAAATAAAGTAAATATAGTATTATGTATATTTTTCTGAAATTATTGAAACCTTGCCAAGCAAAAAGCAGTAAATAGTTATATTTCATACTCTAAGAAACTCATCACTGTAATAATAAAATAATATTTTTTCAAAGTGAAATTAAAGAGTAATGTTTGAAAAATTTAATAAGACAGACTGATGGAAAATAGGAAACATAGACAAGTAACATTAGAAAAGGAAAAATGTATTTCTTAAAAGGTATGAGAGAACATTACACACAATCATATATTGACACATTGAGATATATAAGTGAAGTGGATAATTTCCTAAGAAAACACAAATTTTCAAAATTAATTTAAAAAGTGAATAGCCTGATGAGGGCTTTAATTAGAGAATTCTTGTTATTGTAGAATTTTAGATCTAGGAAAGCCTTTCACAACTGTATAATAAAACTCCCATAATTTGTAAGTGAAAATATTGAGGTCCAAAGTTTTTGTGGCCTGCTGAAAACATCCTATTAATTAGCTTTGGAAATTAGGAGGTCATGGGTGATCCCTGTGGGATAAAAGCTTAGGGGAGATGCTAGACGGCAAGAAGAAAAGAGGAGAGCAGGTAATATAGAAGTTGAAGTGTGGCTTAATCTTTCAAGAAGTTTGACCACAATTGGAGAAAAGAGAGAGAATAAACCAATGAGAACCAGTGAAAACAAACCAGAATACTGGACGGTTGGTTGGTTGGTTGGTTGAACATAGAAACTTAAACAGATTCGTAGGCTAAGAGAGTGAATACATAAGATAACTAAAGGAAGAGAATGTAGAGATACTAAATATGGAATCAAGCGTAGTTACTATTTTTTGATATTAGATGTGAGAATAGTGGTTATCTTTGGGAAGCTTTGGGACTGGCAGGATGGAGATGTTCTAAATTTTTATCTTGATTACAGTTACATAGGTGTATGTATTTATACAAATGAATCAAGTTTTATTATAATATTTATTGTGGATTAAAAAGCATATTTATTTGTAAAAATTTATCACTCTCTCTGCATGGGTGAGTGGGCTTTTGAAAGGTAGCCTTCACAGTACGTACATCAAAGATGAACCAGTATATGAGAGTTTTTTCCCTTTGGGGGAGAATATTAATCTCTGACATTCTGAAAGTAGAGGTGAAGGAGAAAGGAGAGGAGGAGGGTCTTATGGTTTAATACATACACTTGTTCCTGCTTGTACACCTATCCACTAGTGAGATTGGTATCTGACTTCAGAAACCAACCCATTTGATTTCTCCAGAAACTAATCTTCCCTGTGACAATGCTGAGCTGTGTTGGCTAGAGAAGGAAACACAAAGTTTCAGCTATTCTGTACGTCGATTTTTCAACCAACCATTCTTTTTCAGCCCCATATAAAACTGCGTAAGCCTTCTGTTTCTGGTCCCCACATTCAGAAAGTCCACAGAGTGAATAAGCTTTATTACAAACAACATTTCTATTACCCACGCCCTGCCCTGCCACCCTATAAGCAGGTAGGCTATAACTTTCTCTACCACTCTTTGTCAGTTAAACCTTCTTTCCTCAGAATCTTCTGAATTTGTCAACACCTTGAGTTCATGGTGTCTACTGCCTATTATTTTTTCTTTGTGACTTAATAATTTGGTCATTTTAGTGTGGTTTGGGAGGTAGAAGACAAATCGGTAATGTTTAATTAAAAATTTTGGACTACATTTTCCAAATGACATTGTTGCTAATATAGAAAACTTAGATTAGTTTATTGATCTCAGTGTATAGGAAATAAAATTTTATATGTTGATCTTGCATCCAACTAGCCCGTTGATTCTTTTTACTATTTCTAATAGTTTAAAAATTGATTATTTTTGGATTTTCTAATAAGGAGATATATTATCTGCAATGACAACAATGTGTATCTTTATTTTTGTCTTTTCTTGTATTGTTTTCGTGAGAAACTCTTGTACAACTTAGAATAATAGAAGTGATGGTAGACATCTTCCTTTTTTTCATGACTGATGGACATTAATCTAGTATTTTACTATTACAGATGATTTTCAGTACAAGATTTCAAAAGATGATCTTTATTAACCAAGAATGTTCACTTCAATATATAATTTCCAAATAACATTTTTTAAAATTATTATTTGGGTTCTGAATTATATCAAATGCTTTCACGTTTATTAATGTGACCATATGATTTCTCTTCTTTAATCTGTTGATGTAATAAATTATGGGGAGGTCATTTTTGATGTTGAGTCACCCTGCATTACTGGACCCACTCTGATTTGATACTGATTTATTATCCTTTTACTGTATTTCTAGACATAATCTTTTATTTTGTAATTTCACATTTATGTTTGTAAGTGGAAGTGGCTTACAGCTTTCTTGCTCATTTCGATATCAATGTCATGCTAGCCTCTTTAAAAAATGAGTTGGATACTTCTAATCTTTCTCTTTGACCCGGAAATGGTAATGTGAATTTGGATGTTGCTTACATTTGTTAGAATTTGCCTGTTGGTGTATGGAAAATGATACTGAAATGATACTGAAAATGATACTGAATTTCTACTTTTTTTGAAGGACTACTTCTTCCATTATGACTCCATTTTATCTGTTATTAGTTTTATCTCTCATAATTTATGTTTTACTAGAAAAACGTCCATTTTATGTAGCTTGTCAAGGGTGTGTGTATATATATATAATATGTATAACTGTATATATATATATATGTATGTATAACTATTTTCATTCCTAAACTTATTTATTTTGCTTTTTCTCTCACCTTTAAATATCATCACAATGGCCAAGGTTTCGCTGCTTTATTGGTCTTTCAGAGTCAGCTTTGTCTTTATAGATGAATTTTACTGTTCTTCAAATTTTCTGGTTTGTTAATTTCCGATTTTATCTTTTTAAAATCTATTCCTCTTGATTTCTTTAAGTAGCCCACTAATTTTCATCTTTCTCTTGTTTTCTATCTATTTAAGTCTAAAAATATTCTATTATCATAGCAAAATTTCACAAGTTTTCATATATATGCTGCCATAATTGTTATTCAGTTCTAAATAGTTTATAATTTAGAGTTTTAGTTTCTCTTTAATTGATTATTTAAAAGCTTTTTCCTCCAAAAGGTGCAGAATTTTAATTTTGATTTCTAATTTTATTAAATTGTGGTCTGTGAAAATGTCCTGTGTATTATAAACTTCTTGAATTTATTTTATTTCACTTTCTATCCTAAGAGGTTCCATTTGTATATTAAAAATCTAGACATGCTCTGTTTTTTTATGTACAATATTACAAAGAAAGAATGTTAACCACTTTTATTTATTGCATTATAATCATCAATATTATTATTTCCTCCATTTTTGGTTACTTTCTGAGAGCTGTATGTTAGGTTCATCATTATAATTTTAGTTTGACAGTTCATCCTTGCAGTTTTCTCAGTTTTTGCTTCATATACTTTGAAAAATTATTATTGTTTTTATAAAGATGTGTTCCTTCTGTATCTTCTTTGTGCCTTGCTCCTTTTATTAGTATGAAAAGTCCCTCTTCATCTTTTTTATTTTTCTCCCAATACTAACATTGTGACATCTGGTTTTTACATGTTAGTATTTGCATAAGCTAGCTCTTTTCATCTCTGTTCTCTATTTTCCTGTGTCAGTCTTTGGGTTTGAAGTATGTCACATAATTACATTACTGGAATTAGACTTTTTTCATCCAATATGAAAGTTTCTAGCTTTTAACAAGTAAATACAAAGTATTACCATTTATTGTGATTTTTGATGTTTGGAATTAGTTTATTTCCTTACTTTATTTTCTATTTCTCATGTTTTCTAGTTTGTTGTCCTCTTGCTTACCTTTAATTGAACAGATAGATTTTTCTTAGTTCAATTTTTTCTGCTATTTTACAAATGTATTGTTATTATTTTTTGTGGTTACTGAACCATTAACATAAATGTTCAAGCGTATTTTTCTATAATCTAGAATTAATCAGTATCTCATCCCTGAGAACATCTTAAAAAAGAGGTTTAGAATACTTTTATGTTCCTCTACTCCCTTGCAACTCTAATCTCTCCCATCTTTGAACCCTTCCTGATATTATTTTCAATTTTATATCTTCATGGCTATATTTTTAAAATTATATAAATTTATGTAAAATAAACATTTATTTAGACTTATTATTTTCTTTTTTAAACTATTTATGTATTTATTTATTTTTAACTATTATTTTAAGTTCCGGGGGTACATGTGCAGCTTTGTTAGACATGGAGACTTACCACTTTCTTTGCTATCCATCAGTTCTTTTATCTTATTCCCTCCTCTTGGACTTCTTATTGTTAGTGGTTTATATTGTCTAGCAATTCTTTCAAAGAGGATCTTGAGGTAATTAACTTCAAAATTTCTTCCAATTTAAAAAATATCTTTCTTTATGCCTCTCTCTTGAACAGTGGCTTGGCTGGGTGTAGAATTCTATCTTCAAAGTTACTTTCTCTTAGAATGTTGAGAATCTCTTTCTACTGCCTTCTTGTACCCTGGGTTGCTTGCAAAGAACCTGATGTCAATCTGATTCTGATTTCTTCGTCAATATCTTTCTTTTTACTCTGATAGCTTTTAAGATTTTTCTCTTTATTCTCTGTTTTCAAAGATTTCATCAAAGTATATGTGCTTGTGCATGTGTGTATGTGTGTGTGTGTGTGTGTGTGTGTGTGTATCTTTAGTCTCTCCTACGCCGGGAGAATTTTTACAGTGTTTTGAGAAAATTTTCTGTAATATATCTTTAAATGCTACCTTTCCCCCAAATTTCCTGATTTCTGCCTTCTGGAAATACTTTTAAATAGACTTCAGAACTTCTGTGTCATCCATGCATTATGACCTTTCTACTTCCCATGTCTTCATTCCTGCTCCCAATACCTAATTTTGGGCTATGGTACATATTGTCAATTTGTTCTTTATATACTTTTGTTTTCAAGGAATTTCTCACAGTCTCTAGTCCATCACAGTTAACACTTCTTATTTTTTCCTGTTATTTTAAGCAATCTCTTCTATTGTGTCTAGGAATTTGGTGTGAAGGATGTACATGAGAGTGTTAGGTAAAAACAGTGCTCAGTTTGACAACTTAAATCCATTTTCAAGTTTTGAAATGTTTGCCAATAACATTCATCAGCTGTGACACTGATGAGACCAGTTAGGGGTTTGGCAAGGCAGGAAAATCAGAAGAATTGAATGATGAACTTGAAATGCTAGTGAGTCTCACATTTGGAAAGGTGAACTGTGAGGCTTAGCCATAGTGGAAGTCGACACATGGAGACATTTGAATAAAGAAAAACTGTAGGACCAAAGTTCAAAATAGTGAGTCCAGTGATAGTGATAATTGAACAGTTGCCAAGATATGAACCTCGTCATGGAAAAGGAGATTCAGGATTTGAGGCTTGTAAGTGAAAAAACCCTAGTACTGAGGGGATCTAAGGGATGATTGATCACTGGGGGCTTACTGATGTGGATTTGGGTTATGTAAGAAAAGAGATCAAACAATCCTGAGACCTGAACACTAGAAAGGCCAGTTTTATGGAAGCTGATGTGTCATTTGTGGAAAATAATAAAGTTCATTTGAAAATTGCTATTCATAAAAGTTATATTGTAAAGACTTTTGCAACTTAGCCAATATGACATATAAGTAGAAAAATCAGTGTGTGTTTCCTTGTATGGAGTGTTTGATTTTCTTTTAACTTTTAAGTTCAGGGGTACATGTGGATGTTTGTTACGTAGGTAAATGGGTGTTATGGAGTCTGGTTGTACAGATTATTTATCACTTAGGTATTAAGCCTAGTACCAATTAGTTATTTTTCCTGATCTCCTTTCTCCCTCCCTCCACCCTTCGATAGGCCCCAGTGTCTGTTGTTCTCCTCTGTGTGTCCATGTGTTCTCATCATTTAGCTCCCACTTATAAGTGAAAACATGCAATATTTGGTTTTCTGTTCCTTAGTTTGCTAAGAATAATGGCCTCCACCTCCATCCATGTTCCTGCAAAGGATATGATCTCATTCTTTTTTATGGCTGCATAGTATTCCATGTTGCATATGTACCATATTTTCTTTATTCAGTCTATCATTGTTGGGCATTTGGGTTGATTCCGTTTCTTTTCTATTATGAATACTGCTGCCATGAACATACACCTGAATGTGTCTTTATAATAGAAAAATTTATATTCTGTTCGGTATATACCCAGTAATGGGATTGCTGGGTCAAGTGATATTTCTGTCTTTAGGTCTCTGAGGAATCGCCACACTGTCTTCAACAATGGCTGAACCATTTACAATTCCACCAACAGTATATAAACCTTCCTTTTTCTGCACAACCTCAGCAGCATTTGTCACTTTTTGGCTTTTTACTAATAGCCATTCTGACTGATATGAGATGGTATCTCACTCACTATTGTTTTGATCTGCATTTCTCTTAATGGTCAGTGATGTTGAGCATTTTTCATACACTTGTTGGCCGAGTGTTTGATTTTATACTAATTCTTCACATGCTGAAGCAAAGTGTAGCTCCTTTTTTTCTATTTTTCAAGATCATAGTTTTTGCGATGCTCTTTATATATGGTTAGTTTTGCGACTTAAACCTCTTTAGTCCACATGTACACATTCCTTAAGTTGAGATAGCTTACCTCCATACTTGGAGCAATTTAAGGATAAATAGTTTATCCAGCTATTGTAGAATACTATTGTCTGAAGACATAGGCCTTATTTCTTTAGCTACAACACATTTCCCCATAGTCTGTGACCATATTATTGTACGAAGAGGCATGATTATTGAAATAAATGTCAGTGGCTCAAAATTACATGTGCTTCAATTTGTATTAGAATTAAAGTGAATACCAGGGAGATGTGAAGTAATGAACACAATATACAGAAAGTAAATGTTAAAATCTCTGTACTCAGACATTGAACATGTCATTATTTCTTATAAAATTTCAGTACACCAACACTTAGGGTCTAACATTTCAACATATTTACAGTTTGGTATAACTCTTTATTGACAGTTTAAAAATAGAGATGGACTAGCTTTGCTAGTGCATACAATTTAGTTGAAACAAACGTGGAGGAAAATGAAAGGGTAACTAATGACTTAGAAAGGTTATCTAGTCTTTGGATAGCAAGTGGAAGAGTTGTCTTTGGAATTCAAATGGATTGGTGACTATAGATCAAAAATAAGCAAACTAGTCAGCCTGCAGATATTTAAACCGTAAATTGGAAAAAATAAAAGTCTTAATGTGTCAAGAATAGGAGGAATTACAATTGGTTAAAGCTACTGCATTATACCTGAGACTAGAGTATAGGTATGAGGAAGTTTTCAAGTATTCCATGATTTTATCATTTTTATAAGCAGAAACAAGTACTAAATAGGTTTAAGTACTACATGAAACAAAGATTCACATGCTGAAAAATTGTTTTGTTTTACTACTGCTTATAATAATGATGATAATAGTTATATTTGGTTGGGCACTTGCTGTATACCTAGCACAGTGCTACTCAGCTTCTTAACATTATCTGTCATCATTTACACAACCTGGTGGATAAACATGCTGAAGTTCATTTTATAGGATTAGAAGAACTGGCGAACTAAGTCAACATCTGGTGAAATTTAATAAAATTAACAAATCCTATGAATAATTTGGGCCAAAAAATTCTAGTAAGATATTCTGCATTAGCAGTGGATGGTGGTAGAGATGAGAAGATATGGGTTATAGTTTTATTTCTTTGTATTGGTTTTTTTTACAATTTTTAAAATTCTACTGTCTTTGTTTTGCCATTTTCCGTTTTTAAAAATGGTAAGACTGAGAATGACTGACAAAAGAACAAATTAGTCCTGTTGTTGGTTCTGGTTTATAAAGACTTGCATTTCAACAAGATTTATAAAGCAATTATACCAACAGTGAAAAAAGTAGCAACCTTTACCAAAATGAAGCTGCTGATCTTTTGCTGATGAGTCACAACTAATGATAAGCACATTCAAGGTGATTAAGTTACGTGAAGAAAAATATCTATAAAATCTTAGCCCTGTACTGCTGGTGACATGATTAGCTTTTCAAAATTACTTGATGAGGACACACATTGCAAAGTAATAGTATAGAAGCATTGTATTAAGTACTTTAAAATACATATTTTATTTTTGTACTATGTTATTAGCCAAACCTCATTTTGTACTTTGCTGTTACACCTTGAATATCATGCATGTATAAGAGCAAACTAATCTTTTTCTTTTGAAAGGCTGTTACTCTTACAGATATAATTTTAACATCAACACAGATAAAACAACAAAGAACGATTATCTGTTAAAAGGGAAGAATAAAGAATGTAGCCAAACTAATTATGCAAGATGTCTGTAACAAATTAAATCAAAGAAAAGAGAATTTTCATAATTATGTTTTAAAAATTCAAGTAAAACAATAATTTTAATCTCCCTTGAGTTCAAATTTACATTCAGGGTTCTTCTCATAAAAAATTAAGTGCAAAAATGAAATTAGACTTTTTTTTTCCATTGTAAATACTGTATAGAGCATAAAGACTATAGGGTTTATAATTTCTGTAAATAATTACTCTTGTCACTGAGGAGAAGTAGATATTTGAAATAAAAGCAATGAATCAGAGATTAACAATCCCCTGAAGAACATATCATTTTCCCTCTCCCAGGTTCAGTGTGAGTCTTTTTGTTTGTTTGTTTCCACAGAGTATCTGCACAACCACCACTGCATTTTTGCACTTTTTCTTCCTGGCTTCATTCTGTTGGGTTTTGACTGAGGCGTGGCAATCATATATGGCTGTAACTGGAAAAATTAGGACACGGCTTATAAGAAAACGCTTTTTGTGCCTTGGATGGGGTAAGCATATTGATATACCGTTTCATGCTCTTCTCAAAATGACGTTGAACACACATTAGAAAGCAGTCATGAGTGATTAGACACAGGCTACTTTGTGTCTAATTTAATCTATGGAAGTGAAAATACATGAGCTGGTCAGTTTTGAACATTCATTGGTCATTTGGAACTTTAAAAGGAAGTAAGTATTGAATGCTCATTTAGCTAGTCAGTTAACATTCAACAGTGTCTAGATAGTATGAAATGAGACCCCGAGATGCCTACACACAGAAAAACAGTGCTCTCTGTTAATATTTTCTGAAAGTGCAAAATACCTTAAAATTTTCAAGGCCTAATGTGTGATGGTTCACTAGGCATGTACTCCCACCAAGAAAACTTAGAAGATTTCATTTCAAGAAATCTCAAAGCAATTAAAGAATAAAAGCGATTCATTTCATAGGGAGAACACCATCTAGAGAATTAATGAAACCTCACAGCTTGTTGACCTGGTCCTCAAAAGCAGAAACAGAATTGCTGACAGACTGAGAACTAATTCTTTACTTGTGTTTATTAAGAAGTTTCTCTCAAATTGCCTCATGACATGGACATCTCAAAGATCTATATTATAGGGCCAATTCTAATGATAGCCTAGTTAATTTAAGAAGCTACTTTTAGAAAAAGCCCAAATATACAATAATATCTACTGTATTAGAAGACTGGCATATGGGATGCTAGGAGGAACCTGGGAAATTACAAATAAGTGTGCTTATAACAATTCCAGAATTATTTAGGCTGGAAAAATATGATCAAGAACACGTAAATATTATTCATTAGGTTTCAGCAAGGTCTATTATGTCTAGCTAATAAATTAGGACTTTATCCACAGACAAATGGAAAAGCAATTAATAAGAAGTTGAAGAGTAGGCCAGACATGGTGGCTCACGCCTGTAATCCTAGCACTTTGGGAAACCAAGGCGGGTGGACTACCTGAGCGTGGGTGGACTACCTGAGCGCGGGTGGACTACCTGAGCACGGGAGTTCGAGATTAGCCTGAGCAATATGGCAAAACCCCATCTCTACCAAAAATGCAAAAAATTAGCCGGGAGTGATGGCACATACCTGTAGTCCCAGCTACTCGGGAGGCTAAGGTGGGAGGATTGCATGAGCCTGGGAAGTGGAGGTTGCAGTGAGCCAAGATCACACCACGACACTCCAACTTGTGTCACAGAGTAAGACCCTATCTCACACCAACACAAAAGTTGAAGACTTTGTTCTACTTAGAATTTCATCAAATTTTTGTCTAAATTTCCTGACAAAGGCCTTCTAAAGTTGAGATAGTATTTAAATCAAGGGACACTTTTGCCATGAATTAGTACCATTCTAAGAAATACAGAATACAGGTAAAAGAACACATTTTTTGATGAAGAACAAAACATGGTGATTTTCAAGATTAGTGACTACCTTGTTTAAAATTATTACTAAAGATTTTGAGGAGAGGGTTCACAGACAGTCTCCGTATTTACAGCTAATATTAAACTACTCTAGGTAGCAAAAACCTGAACTGATGGTGCTAAAGTATCAGAAAGTTTATGGGTTGGCAGAATAGTGGTGTGTGTGTTTCATTATGAACAAGTACAATAAAATGAATCTAGAAAAAATTTAATCTAAATTGTATGAAATAAATACTATTAATTCTTCAGTTATAACCCATGAGGAATTTTTTTTTCCTAATGAACTTGGTCCAGTCAATCAAAAAAAATCAACAAATGACATGTGTGGAGGAAGAGGAGAAGGAGGGACAAGAAGAGGAGAAACAGAAGGAGGAAAGGGAAGAGGAGGAAAGGGAGGATAAGGATGAGGAGGGGACTATATATTTATAATTTTATATACATATATGTATAGTCACCAGTGTTTGTTTAACACTATGGTGTGTCCTTCTGAGATGTTTTCCATAGTTCTTGTCATTAAATCTCATGAAGGAATGTGATGCCACTAGAGAAGGCTCACAGAAGAGAATAGCAGGAGGTATGTGAAATGATAGTAAGAAAGAAGACAGACAGAGGACATACAATAAAATGATTAGATGACGGATTTTTCAACCGGAAAAGGCAAACATGATCTTCCTGAAAAGAAGGCATAACCAAAACTAAAAAAAAAATCTTTAAACAGCATAGACTAGAGACTCTACCAAAATACAGGGGGGTTCTATTGAACTTGAATGAGGTAAGTGTAATTCCCATAAACGTAAACTAAAAGAAGATGCTAGCTCAGAATTGGAGCAGGTATGTAGGTAATTGAACTCCCTGTTTCTACATTCTTGTTATTATAAGCAAATTATAAAGAAAGTGTTAACTCATAAGATGTATGTTTTTTTCTGTCTTATTATAAGTACAGCTTGATGTGGATCAATATGTGGCCAATGGAATGTTCCACTTCTCCGATATTACATCATACCAGAACATCCAGTTTTTGCCTTTCTGATTTTATAACTATAAATTTCCTTTATAACAGTGTAAACCCCTAGGGAAAAAAATAACTTAAAAGATGTACTAAATCTCTGTTATTACTTCCATTTAAACCCGTGTCAAATGTGGTGGTAACCTAGCAACACCAGAGAAGTGCAGTAAGTTAAAAGCTCAGGTACCTCTCTCATATTTTTCAACTTGAAAGAAATCCTGTAATAGAAACATACCTTGTGAAGTGACTCATCCAAAGATAGTTTATCTAATTTGAGCACCTGGAGTTTGTTCTGGCTTTTCTTAGACCAGTATGCATAGTGGTTATAGCTAAATATGAATGCGTGACATTGCTTTTCTTGCAGGTTTACCAGCATTAGTAGTGGCCACATCAGTAGGCTTCACCAGAACAAAAGGATATGGCACTGATCACTAGTAAGTCCATCCACAGAGATAAATCATGTTTATAATTTAACAAATCATCAAAGAGTCTTGGTTGGCACTGCTGATGGCTTGCAGTTTATCATGGAATCATTAACAATGGTAGAAATTGCATTAGTAAGGAACAAAACAAGGTAGCTTAAATCTACAAAGGTTAAGAAATAAATGTTGTGGCACTATTCAGAATCTTTGTTTTAGTTTCCCATTTCTTAATAAGACCAGCATATTTGGCTTTTAAAATATTTCAATATTTATTTTGCATGCCCAATCTCAAATAAATTGAGAACTGGATAAGTCTTGACATACTTACTTTTTAGAACGTGGTGCTGCTATGAGCTTCTAATTCCATTGATGATAATGTGTATTGTTATTAACCAAGTTTTGTCATGTTAGTTCAAGTTTTCTTGCTATGTTAGGGTAATGCATACTAAAAATTATAGATCAAGGGAACCAATGGATTTTACATTAGAAAATACTTGGACCGTGGAAGAAATTAAAAGGGAGAAAAGGTATATGATATCAGCTTATTTTATAGTGGTAGAGCTGATAAATTCTGTGAGAGAATTTGTGTTTGAATTTAACATTTTAAATCTAAACAGTGCACTTTCATGTTTTATTTTATCTGCATCCAAGTTGAGGAGGCAGTTAAGAAGTGGGGAAAGAAATGTGCATCTTATTAAAAGCATATGTTTTAAAGCATGATGTTCTGTTTAATTATTTTGGGTTTGAGGTAGGAATCACTGCCAATTAGACCCTCTGATAGGTTCGTACAAATTGTAAACATACTGAGAGATATTATTTCACCTGTTTATCCTAAAGAAACTTCTGAAAAGTTTAAGACGCTCCTGTCATCAGAGCATTTTTGTGCCATCTATAGTATTTTTAAAAATTCTGATAGCATAGATGGCACAGTACTGGTTACTACAGCACTAGCACCTTAATTTATTACTTTTTACAATAGCATAATTATTGGTATACATCTATTTTTGGAAAGTCACTGTATTGAGAATATGGGAATAAGTAAGGTTATATATGTGATGGTTCCTACTTTCAAAGAGTTCATAATTAAAGTCCAATACAATACAATAAGTAATGCATTTATTTTATAGCCATAAGTTTTTATAACAGTGTAAACCCCTAGGGAAAAAATAAAAGATATACTGAATCTCTATTAGTATATCTTGAAAGATATACTGAATCTCTATTAGTATATCTTGAAAGATATACTAAACCTCAGTTTGAAGATTAGTTTACATAAAATTACAGTGGGAATTTAGTGGCAGAGATTAGTTTACACAAAAATACAGTGGGAATTTAGTGGCAGTCTTAGAGACACAATCTAAAGTGTTCTGTCAGACTAAGGTTTTTTTCTCCAGGTATTTTATTTAAAAATAGATATTAAAGTGGAAAAGTACGGTTTTATCTTTCTGCTGTTATGTCAAGGAGCAATAACTAAATGCAGGCTTTGAATATACATACACATATTTGGGTATATCTATGCTGATATAGTATCTCTTTGTGTACATATATAATTACCTTACATACTAGGTAAATATGTTTAAGATATAATTTACATAGAGTAGCATTCACCCTATTAAGTGTATAGTTCTGTGAGTTTTGCGAAATACATAACTCGTGTAACCACCATCACAATTAACATAGAGCAGTTTATTGTTAGAACAGATATAGAGCAGCTACTGTTCATTGTTACTGCTTTTGAAGGCAGCATGCTGATGCTGTAAGCTGAGAAGAAATAGTTAAAGGGTCAAATGTCAAAAAACTGGTGCATGAAATGGTGGCCATGACTTTTTGCACCAGCAGCCCCTCACACTTCCCTCATTTTCACTTTCCTGGATTCTGCATGAGCAGATGTGCCACCCTGCAAAGCATCCAGTGTCAGCCCCATTCCCTCTGCATTTCCCTCTGCTGTGAGAGACTGTTTCTCCCCAAATGGATTATCTTGTCTCTATCAATGCAAACCTACATCTCTTGGTGAATTTAGGCATTGAAACAAACACAGCTGCACTTATTTTTATTCAAAAGCTTATCTTTAGAGAATTTTCTTAGTAGTTTGGTGAAAAAGTAAAATTAGAAGAAAAATAGCATGCAAATGTAGCTTATCCATTCCCTGCAATGATGGCTTTTAAACCAATTTCTCCCAATATTTCAATGACCTCGAGGAAGAGCAGGTAAATGGCACGTCTAAAACTCTAAAAAAAAATACACTGGTCTTGCTTTAAAGTACATTTGAAAAAATCCATAATGGATATAAAGCAGCATTTTATAAAATGTAAATAATACTCAACTTTGTAATGACAGTAAATATAGAAACCTCATTGCAATAGTAATTTGTCTAAAATGTTTCAACTGCCTGAAAGTAAAACCTTGTAATAAAACTTTCTTTTGAGTTAGATATATATAGTATTTCTTACTTATGAAATGATATAATTCTAGTTTTTTTCTACATCTTCTATGTATTTTTTATTACAAATGTTTAACATGTGCCAAAATTCCAAGGCAAAATGTATAATCTAAGTTGTTTGTATCACACGTTAGTGGTCTAATACTTGTCACTAATTTTTGTTAGTTCTTATCTAATGTCATTTTCAGCTGCTGGCTCTCTCTTGAAGGAGGACTACTCTATGCTTTTGTGGGACCTGCAGCCGCTGTTGTCCTGGTAAACATCAAAATCAACCTATTTTGTTTTCTTAGGAAAAAAAAAAAAGACTACTTTCTTTCAATTAGAGTGGCAATTTTGATAATGTAGTTCTTGTGTAGAAATTTTAAAGTTCAATGGACTATTATTCTAATTGAATATAAATTATTATTCAGCCCTTTATTATTCTAAAATATTCTTATTTTGAATACTGAAGAATATTAAACTGGGAGTGTGGTATTTCTCTTACAGTAATTTCAGATTTGTGAAAAAGTTTGAGTAAGTTTTAATGAATTCTTCCTCTTTAATGTATAGAATCTCATCATTTACCATAATTTCACCTTTACACTATTCTGTACAATACATATGGTTATTACGTATGGTTATTAATAGGGAAATCTCTTTAATGCTGCCCCTATCAAATATCTAAAGGAAATATATTCTCGACCTCAGTGATACTGATATTTTGGATCATATGTTTGTTTGTTGCAGAGGCCGTCTTATGTGTTTTACCAGGTTCCGCAGCATCCTTCTTCTCTACCTACTACATACCAGTAGTACCCCCTAGTCATAACACTCAAAAACATCTTCAGACATTTTCCAATGGTCCCGGGGGGTCAAAATCATCTCTGTTTAAGAATCATTCCCATATGTTATAGATAAGGATTTTAAATTTCTCTTTTGAAACCACAAAATAATTGTTTAAAATTTTAAACTACGGTAATGTGAAATATTTCCTTCCAATTTGCCTTTCTCTTTCTCCTTTTGGATTTATTGATTACAAGTTTTTCTTGCCCAATAAATCTTTAAAGAAAATAAGGGAGGAAAGAAACTGTCTAAATTAAATATAAATATTCATATTGCTATACAATTATATTTCTAATTGGAAAGTTACTCTTTGGTTTCTTGAATGACTCATTCAAAAAATTGGAAGGTAGTGACATCCTACTAATTCTGATATGTCTGTTTTTTTCTCCCTTTAAGCTTGTTCTCCCTCAACTAAGCTGTAACAGGGAGCAGAAACTGTCTATAATTTGCAAGAAAAATAAAATCAAGGCAAGAATCTTAGTGCAAAGGGAAATCAAAACTATTAGACACCTTTTTTGTCTGCTGCTTTGAATTTTTATTTAATCAACTGAACTATTTCCCTAAGCTTCTAGGTTAATGCCAATATAACACTAAAATGAAGAAACACAGTGTGTATATAATTGAAACACCAAAGTATGGTCTTTGGAGGGGTGACAAATTCCCTTATGATTAAGTTGTAGATTACTAGAATCCATAGAATACACTTTTTCTCTTAGTTTAAATGAGAGGTACATAGATGAATAAGTATTCTCTTGATTAAGTGGTATCTTGTCAGGAAACTATGAAGAGTGACTCTTCCTAAGTCCATACTTAATAGGTATGTTTTGCATCTTCCTTACGTTAGCAACTGGACACATTTTAGCTTTATATTCACCATCTTCATTGGCAGCAGGGCAGGGTTACACCAAGATTGGAAAGAGGCCAGAAAGGCAAAAAGAAGAACATATTTTTCATTTACTCATTGGACTGGATTCCTTGATCAGAAAGTGTTGGTAGATTAGAGAACTGTCGGGGCTCATCATAAGCTGGTACAAATAGACATCTATGCAGTTTTTACAGTTTTACTTGAAAAAGGAAAAATATGTGTGATTTCATTTCATGTATCATGCAAAAGACCTTTTAAGTGAGAATAAGAAAGTCTTAGAAAGAAAATGATAGAACTGTACACTAGAGCATATTTTAAAAATTGGCACTAGTGTCCATTGTGAAAAAGATTCTGGTGAATTGAATAGGCTTTCCTTTCTGCTTAGAAAAGCATGGTACATCAAAATGCTCCCCTTCCACAGAAAAGAATAACCACACAGCATGAGGAATTTAAGCATTCTGTCCTCTGTGTTGGGAATAATGACAAATCATCAGCACCTTTTGCTGCCAGGGCTCACCCTAACCTCATACTCTAAGATTCAGAATCTCCTGGCTCATGGGCATAGGGTAAAACTGCTTTAGCCAAATGATTTTACTCAGGGTTGACTCAGACAGAAGAATGCCAGATTGGCATAGTATGGTACCATTTAAAATTCAGGCAATTGAAGGTTAATTTCCCCAGTGTTAACTGCAAAGCATGGAAATTAAATGAACTTAATGTACTTTACAACTTTAAAGTAGCACACCACTGTTAAATTGTTCCGTATGCCTCTGCTCACTTATAAAATGTTTGAGAGTGCTTCATACCACTACTAGTGATACGGTGGTTATGAATTGATAAAAATAGGATTTTCAGGAGAAACAGGGACCTGATTCCCTTCAATATCATTGAAAGGTCAACTTTGTTTCTGTTTGACAGGTCAACATGGTGATTGGCATTTTGGTATTTAATAAACTTGTTTCCAGAGATGGAATCCTAGATAAAAAGCTCAAACACAGAGCCGGGTAAGCTGCAATTGGTGGATTTTGAAGGTTATTTATCAGTGAATCCCATACTCCAATTTCAGACCATCACTGACTGCGTTTGACTCTGCCTTGAATTTTGTTATTGATGTACTAGTGTGTCCAGTAGATTCTGCTATATAAAAGTTTCCAATGTGCTATTTTTAAGCAATACGACCAAAAATCTAAAACTACTATAACAGACCATGAAGAAATTCGGAGTGTACTTGTGCATATTGCCTGCTTGTCAGATAAGAACGTTAAACATTAAGGCTTTACTTGCAATAGTTGTCGTTAGGTAAGGGTTTTCAAAGCCTTCCTGGTTTTGGTCACAAAGAACAGGAGGTAGATTGAACACAGTGTTGGTATGTGACAGAACAGAATCAGAACAAGCAAACCTAAACAGGGCAAAATACTATATTTTCTTTGACTAATTGTATATATCAGGAAAAAAATCTTCACTTGGAATAATTACTTATCAAGCACTATTTAGGTCTTATATTTTCATTCTTTATGACATTTTTAATCTAACTGGCTAAAAAGAGTTATTCATAATTTTCACACTTTAACCTCATAAAATTTAGAAAAGCATCTCCTTTAATTTTACTGTTATTATAATATATAAATATCTGATGACATATTATATATTATAATATATATCTGGCCGGGCACGGTGGCTGACACCTGTAATCCCAGCACTTTGGGAGGCTGAGGTGGGCAGATCACGAGATCGAGACCACAGTGAAACCCCGTCTCTACTAAAAATGCAAAAAAATTAGCCGGGCGAGGTGGTGGGCGCCTGTAGTCCCAGCTACTCGGGAGGCTGAGGCAGGAGAATGGCGTGAACCTGGGAGGCGGAGCTTGCAGAGAGCCAAGATCGCGCCACTGCACTCCAGCCTGGGCGACAGAGCGAGACTCTGTCTCAAAAAACAAAATAAAATAAAATAAAATAAAATAAAATAAAATAAAATAAAATAAAATAAAATAAAATAAAATAAAATAAAATAAAATAAAAAATATGTATATATAATGACAGTAACGTCTCATATATAGATTGTTAGTAGCTTTTTAAGGTGACATCATCCTTTATCATATAAATTTGTTGACACTTGAAGTATTAATGCCTTTGTTTTTTCTTTGTGTCCTTCCCTATAGAAAGTTTACAGCTTTCTCCTTTCCATTGAACTGTAACCTCATTCAAAACTTACCCATGTAATATTCTTTTCTTCCATAATTTGTGGTATTATTTAATAGTCCTACTAATTGATCAGTTACTTATGAAATTTTAAGTCCTTTGTGTTCTTATAACCTATGTAATGATTTATACAATAAGATAATCTGGGTATTTATTTTCCCTAGCAAAAGACTAAATTTAATGGTTTTCAATATAAAAATTTGATATCATTTATGTAAAACATTAGAAATGCAATAGCGTAATAAAAACATGACTGAAAGTTTCTTCCTGAGCGGGGATCACTTCTCTCATTTAGAGGCTTTTTTCACTGCAGACAAGTTTCTGTAACAACCTTAAATATGTAGACTTGAACGTAGTACAAGCACAGCTTTCTAGATCATTTGAACACAAAATTTTCACACAATTACTCTTGTTATTACGCCACATGTGGTGGAAATTGAAGTAAGCTTCTTCAGTTATTTCTGTCCAGATTAATCATGTAAGAATATACTGATCAGACTGAGTACTGGGATAGAAACTCAGTTCTGCTGCTAGTAGTATAAACTTACATAATTTAAACAACATCGACAATAAAATGGGACTCTTTAGTGGTTAAGATGAAGCTCTGCAATTTACTAGCTGTGTCTATGTGCCTTTGGGTGTGTTACTTTTTGCAACTCAGTCTCCTCATCTGTTAAATGGGGAAAATAACCCCTGCCTCATAGAGTATATGAAAATATAATGTGTATAAAGCACACTTTAGAGTATCTAACATATAGCAAGCATTCACTCAACAGTGGCTGCTCTTCTGAGAAGCCAGCCTGAACAGATTAGGTTGTTTTTGAAGGTCTCTAACTGTCAATCAAGAATCCATGATTCCACCATCCAAGACATGAAGGTCATAAAAAGAGATGAGATCATTGAAATGAATATGATATTGAGGATTTAATTAAAAAAAAATTTAATAAAAAATTTAAAAAACAAGTGAATACCCTTATTTTTTCTTATTTAATTATTTTATGTGTAAAGCCCAGTTTAATTCATATAGCTCTTTATAAGAGATCGTATAGGTTTAGAAGAAATGACAATAGTGTCTTATTATGAATTTAGAAATTATCCATTCCAATCTACATATTAACAAATAAGTTATTCTAAACATATTCTTAGAAGTTACTTATGTTTCACTGGCAAAACTGAGTGGGTGTTTTTCTGGTTCAAAGGCCACTCCTAGAGAAACAGAAATGTTAACTTATGTTATAAAAGCAGAATGTTGGCTACTGTCCAAAGCAGAAAAGAACTATTAACAAATTAATTACTTTGGGTTTTCAAATTATATTTCTAATATAAAGTACTGTTTTAGCTTAAGCAAATATAGATTGAAATTTGTACTCCATTCCAAAGTGTGATTGAAGGAAATTTTTGGAAGCTATAGAGGTTTGAATAATTTTAGTTCACAGAAAAGTAGTGAGGACAGTGAAGAACAGTCCCCAGTGAAGAAGAAATAATCAAAATTAACTAAAGAAACATTAAGCAGGAAACTAATTGGTCGACTTGACAACCAATCCTCCTAATTGTAAAAATCATTTCAGCTTATTTGAATATACACATATATCAAGCATTTGTTTTACAACTAGGTTGTTATTAAAAACCAAATATTGTACCAAGATGTTCCTTCTCCCATTTTTTCTGTTTCTTTGTTCCCTTTCTTCTTTTTTATAATCAGTTATTAGAAACAGCCAACCATATAGTTTGTGCTCAATAAATATTTATAAGGAATTAATAAGTGAATGTTTAATAAATAATACAATAGTTTAACAAGTTTTATAATACACAAACTATATTAATATTTTTTCTACTGAAATTCTTTTTTCTTTTTTCTTTTTAACTTTTAAGTTCAGGAGTAGAAGTACAGGCTTTTTACACAGATAAACTTGTGTCTCAGGGATTTGTTGTACAGATTATTTTATACTCAGGTATTAAGCCTAGTACCCATTAGTTTACCAAGAAGGAATTTATTGTAAATACAACACATCTTAAATAAAATGATAGAGTGAATAAAATCAGGATTAAAAATGGCATGTATATTTTTAGAACATCTTAAGCAGAAAATTTAAGTTTCTCTATTTTTCTGCAGTGGAATTTTCTTATCTACTGCCTTAAACGTCTTTGTCTTATGTACCTGAAACTAAGGAAACTATGACTTACTAGTACCCTTTACAAATTTCATGTGATTTTTTTTTTTTAAAGAGAGGCTGGCGCATTTCCTTTCCAGGGAATATTTTATGTTATTAACAATAAATCAGTCAGACTTTTTTTCTTTAAAGAAAAAGGAAAAATAACATGGAGAAGGGAAACTAGAACTTGTAGATTTTAAGACCCACAGTAATAACTGGAGCAGACAGAACTACCTGAAGAGTAATGTGTGTAAAGTTTTTCTATTTAATGTGACTTTGCTTCTATAATGTGATCCTACCCTGGTGCCCTGGTGGGTATATTGGTTAAATTTAGATGTATGGACAACTCAAGGTTTTTTTTACTGTTTGAACTTTTAATTTTATAAATGAATAATTTCTTCTATAATAAAGAAACAAGATCTCATTTTTCAATGCAGCAACTCAATTTAGCATCTAGACTATGAGTTTTTCATATTATATTAATTTCTATAGTGGTCACATAAACTAGGAAAAAACATTACATGTCTCTAGGTAACTTATCTTTATTCTACTTCATGCACATCCAGTAATAGAATGCCAAAGGTGTCCTACCAGTTAACATCAAGCATAGTTTTTAACAGTTAGCCCTGACTAAGGGAAGTAGGCATAGGTCTTCTAGTTAGACTCAAATAAATATCAAATAAAGACAAATAAGCATTTTAAGTAATGGCTTAAAATTTATTTTCAGACAGGCCCATACTTAGATTAAATCACAGTTTTCAGGTCTAAAATACTTACACTATGTACTTAAAATTATTTTTTAGTAATATTTGGCTTTCGATCTTGTTTCAGAGCCTAGAGGCAACATATTCTTAGATTAAGAAAGACAACTGCATCAGTGTTTGAAGTGTGAACACCATACAGCCTATCTTCTGTGATAAAGGAAACAATATATAACTAATCCATGCCTTTTTCATATTAATCTGATCAGATTTAACAAGATTAAAGAAATGCAAATGTTTAGTTAGAGAAGTGGTACTTGTTCCTGTTTGTTCATCAGCATAATCTATGGAGCTTTAAAAAAAGCAGATGCCTAAGTCCTATTAAATTAGAGTCTTTGTGGTTGGGGCCAGATAGACAGCTGATGTGCAGCCACTGTGGAGAATACTAGGCTATGTACTCCTTTGGGATGTACACATCGGCGTGTCCAATAAGGCATTCCTAAACTAAACTGGATAGACTAATGTTTACATATTATTTTGAAACATTTGGACACATTTGGCAACTACATGTGCCCTGGAGTGGATCAGTAAAGCGAGGGATTTAGTGTCATATTCCCCACCCCCACACTCATGTCTGAAAGCTTTGATTTTTCTCACAGGATCTGCTGATCAATCTACTTAATTAATCACTTTCAGATTTATTATCTCATATCAGCACTATTCACAAGTGAGTACCCTTATTTAAAATAAACCAGAGTTCTAAATTATGAGCATCTTACAACTTTCTCTCTTCTGCCACTTTTTTTATACACATAGTAATGCAACTCCGCTATAAGATTCTTTAAGAAAACCTACAGAGTAATCATTTTAGACATAGATACCACATAGGAATGGACTATGCACACCTCAGAGCATTATTCCAAGTTGTTTGGAATTTTTAATTCAAGTAATTTCTTTTTGGTTTTTCCTAAAAGGTTTATTTTCTAATAAATCTGTAATTTTCAAGGTACAGTTTTCTAAAGCAAAATGTGTGTAAAGTTTTTCCATATAATGTAACTTTGCTTCTATAATGTAGTAGATGGAGTATGAATTGTTTGAATCTGAATTTATGTGCAAAATCCTCTAGACAAGAATAGACCATTTAAATACTAGGAGGTTGGAGTCTATGACAAATGTTCAGAAATAATATTTTGAACTTAATGACTATGTTAAATGTGTTTTATTAAAGCAGAAAACTATCACTCTTTTATTATCAACTAATATTTCATCAAATTTCATCAGCCCCTATATTCAGATCATCCTAAAATGTGGACGATACATATTATAAGAAATTTCAAAATATGAATCTGTTGAGAAAAAAATTACATCTTCAACAAATAATTGAAGACTCCTAAAATCCATTTCTTCCTATGTTGGACTTCTGAGATAATTATTTACATTTCAGAAGGTTTTCACAGATATATATGCCTTCTGCAATTAACAATGAACATCCTCAGGGCTAGGAGTCCTCACATGTTTGATTATTGGGGTCTGAATAAAGGGTTTTCACTGTATGTCTACAGAAGCACATGCTTATGTTTAACTCAGTGTATTGAGCAACTTTGATCAATAGACACAAGGGCCACTTATGGTGTAATGATGGAAATATGTTTTGCATGCAACAAAGGCCCATATTAAAAGGTAAATGTTACAAAGATAATTTGTAGTATAAATGCATCTTTACAACAACCTAGAGCATACATTTTTGATAAATATACTTTTCTGCATGAAATCGTATTTAAAAGCTAACTTGAAGCAGCAATTTTTTTTTGGTGACAATTCAATATTTTGTTCTTTTTGTGGGTGTTCTGTTTGTTTGCAGTCAGATGAGTGAGCCTCATAGCGGTTTGACGCTCAAATGTGCCAAGTGTGGAGTAGTTTCAACAACAGCTTTGTCAGCCACCACCGCCAGTAACGCCATGTTAGTCCCAATCATTTACATCTTCTTGTTACAAATCTTTTACAGTGCATGTGAGAAAATGCTATGATGAAAAAAAATTGTGTTTTCTAATACAAGACCAGAGAGTATATTTAAATATTTATAATTGGCAACTGTCTTTATAGCTATTGTGGGATAGTATATAAAAAAAAAAATAAGACTCTCAAATGTCATCTGCTTTGTGGTTTCCAAGTTAATGGTCTTGGAACCACATACAAAAATGCTTTGTTGAATGGGGGTTTGGCTATGGCCTGGGGTGTGATGTATAGCTACGTAATGTTACTTTCTTGGTCTCAACAGGGCGTCTCTTTGGAGCTCCTGTGTGGTGTTGCCCCTTCTGGCTTTGACGTGGATGTCTGCGGTTCTGGCCATGACAGATAAACGCTCCATATTGTTTCAAATACTTTTTGCTGTGTTTGATTCATTGCAAGGCTTTGTTATAGTCATGGTCCACTGCATTCTTCGGAGAGAGGTGAGAAGCATTCTTGTGATAGAGAACAGTGATGGTTGGAATGGTATTTCCTTGCTAAAAAGAATGATCTTTTAATATCTTGATGTTCAGATTAAAGCTGGTCTCCTCCATTGACAATCACTTGGGAATCAAAGCTGAAGGAATGCTTTAAGACACAGCTTGGGAGAGCCCCCAGCACTCTGAAAGTGACAGATTAGAACAGATGGGACTATGCCAGGAAAAACACAACCAGAGGTGTCAAAAGCCAGGAAGAATAGATTTAAAAGAAGCTACATGGAGTGATTTGTATAAATAAGTCTTGTTAGAAAAACTAGTGAATAAGAGGGCATAGAGGCATAAGTTTTAAAGACACAGTTCATGAGCATAATGCAGTGATAGTTCTTAAGCTTATTCCCTAACTCATGTTTCTTCACACAGCACACCCTCATTGCATATATTAACTAATACTATTTTAAGCAGAAAGCATTGAAGATGAATGCTTAGATCTTTTGTCTCTATACTAAGTTTTGGTTATGATTGCTATGGATTATTGCTTTTGATATGGATGTTTACTCTTAGAAAAATACTAAAAATGTATACAGTGAGACATGATAGGCAGTGATTATCTCCAAGAACTGTAGAGGTATTATCATATCAGCATTTCTCTGGATCATGATTGAGGTTTATTGTCAGTAGTAGGGGAAGAAATAAGTCATATTTCATGAATGCAGACACTAACTAGCACCAGATCCATCCAGGACAGTGAGAGATTTCAGACTTGAGTTGTTTAGAAATAAAATGTTGTTTTCCAACCTGTGTGAAAATTATTTTGAATGCTTGCAAGCACTGAGAGTATTTATAAGGTTTATGAGTCATTTTAGCATTTACTCTAGGGATGACTGGTGACAAAAACACACATGACATAGTGCCATGCTAGTCACTTTGAGAAAACAGTCTACTCTGTCATTTTGCATTATCTAGCTTGTTTGAGAACTTTATTGCAATGTGCACATTGCAAAAAAACACATGTACGTATGAGTATAAACCCTATAGTTTTGCAGTGATGTGCAGAGATAACTAGAGGCTTTTACCTGATTTATCAGATGGGAAGAACAATATTTCTGAGCTATTTTATTTTATTTTTTATTATTCTTTAAGTTCTGAGATACATGTGCAGAACGTGCAGGTTTGTTACATAGGTATACATGTGCCATGGTGGTTTGCTGCACCCATCAACCTGTCATCTACATTAGGTATTTCTCCTAATGCCATCCCTCCTCTAGCCCCCCACCCTTGACAGGACCTGGTGTGTGTTGTTACCCTCCCTGTGTCCGTGTGTTCTCATTGTTCAACTCCCACTAATGAATAAGGACATGCAGTGTTTGGTTTTCTGTTCCTGTGTTAGTTTGCTGAGAATGATGGTTTCCAACTTCATCCATGTCCCTGCAAATGACATGAACTCATCCTTTTTCAATAGCTGCAGAGCATTCCATGGTGTATATGTGCCACATTTTCTTTATCCAGTCTATCACTGATGGGCATTTGGATTGGTTCCAAGTTTTTGCTATTGTGAACAGTGCCGCAATAAACATATGTGTGCATGTGTCTTTATAGGAGAATGATGTATAATCCTTTGGGTATATACCCAGTAATGGGAATGCTGGGTCAAATGGTATTTCTAGTTCTAGATCCTTGAGGAATCATCACACTGTCTTCCACAATGGTTGAGCTAATTTACACTCCCACCAACAGTGTAAAAGCCTTTTTATTTCTCCACATCCTCTCCAGCATCTATTCTTTCCTGACTTTTTAATGATCGCCTTTCTAACTGGCATGAGATGGTATTTCATTGTGGTTTTGATTTGCATTTCTCTAATGACCAGTGATGATGATCTATTTTTCATATATTTGTTGGCTGCATAAATGTCTTAATAAGATACAGATGTCCATAATAAACCCACATGTATTCTAAGAACATTCTATGTAGAAATTCAATGAAAACCAATTAACAGTAACTTCACATTGCAAGGGGAGGAGAGTATTTTAGCATTTAAAAAGTCTGATGTCGTTTACTGTTGCCAAGCCTTACTATTCCCTTAGCAAGTTTCTACCTAGAATATCAGCATTAAAAATCTTCCAAGTATTGAATTATTTATAGACCAAAGGAGTAGAAATTAAGAGGAAATTGAATAATAATTTAGCTTATGTTCTCCAACTATAACTATCTTATGGGTCTTCTATATTAATATTATTGCTAATAATTAAGTAACAAGATTGTTCTAAATGAGTAGACACATAATATGTTTTTGATTGATGATTAAGGATGAAGTATTTCAGGCTTTAAGTAAGATACATGATGATATACCTACATGCAGTTTTTAGAAGATACTAATACCTTAGGTGTTTAGGAGTAGAACAGTGCTGCGTCACTATATAAGCTTCTCTTTTTCTTCAGAATAAGCTTGATAGATAGTTTTAAGCTATCATCAAAATATGCAGGTTTTAAAGTGGCAGATATTATGATGGCTAATTATCAAATGTTTGCTGTTTACATGAAGAAAAATACTTGGCACAAAAATTCTACATTTCCCTCAGAACTTTTTCGTACTTGCTAATTGGACTATTAACTGTCAAAAACAATGATTTACAAGTAATTAAATCAATCATATAATAAATGCTTCTGCTAAAGTAGGTGTCTCTAAATACATGTTTTCTGTACTAATGGAAAATAAAAATATGGATACATCTCTGTTGTTGCATTTTCAATTATTAGTTCAAGTTGAATAATTTTATAGCAAATAAATTAACAGCAGAGTGTCATAACACTCTTTAGCTCCATCACTGAAATGGCAAATCACATATTTCTTTTTTTTAATTGAACCTTAAAAATACCCTATAACATTACTGTAAATACACAGAGCAGATTTCAGGTATAGGGCAAGTCTGCTTCAGAATTCCTAGAGGAAGATTTCATTTAAACACCTTATTTAGAAGGATTTTACAGATCCCAAGGAAGATATCATAGGAGGCCTCATTTGGAACACCAAAATTCTTTTTGACCTTCTAAAGGTATATTGCCTGACACTAGCAATGGGTATATCTCAGATTACTTGTGATCACATTGCCCTGACATTACCATGGTCCAAGAGAAGAGAAGTATCTTCCCATATCCTCTGTGTCTCCACTGAACAATAATTTCATAAAGACATACCAAAGAAAATGGAATAGATAGCTATATGTAAAACATTAGGTAGTGATTCATATCTATTAATCTACTTGATAATTTATAATTGGATCCTAGAAATACAGTTTTATCTCTACTGCTCTTCACTTTAAAATATTTGCTTCACTAAAATTCCTGTGGACTTTTCTTTCTTAAAATATATAAGCAATGTAAAATATATATTTTTTAATTTAGAGACTGGATATATATATATTTCTATTTCTATGTATTTTTGACAGACACTAACATAATTTGGTCTCTAATGACTGTCCCAATATGAATTCAGAAGGCTTTACCCATATTTATTATTTCTGTGGAGGAGGTGGATCTACACAGGGGAAGAATATAGCCTTGAAGTTTAAGAAGGAGAAAATAAGTGAAATACTATAACTGTGATATTTTTAATGTGTTGTGTATGGAGCCTAATTTATTTTATTTTTTTTATTTTTTTTTATTTTTTTTTCCTGCCTTTGTAATTCTTTTTTTTTTTATTATACTTTAAGTTTTAGGGTACATGTGCACATTGTGCAGGTTAGTTACATATGTATACATGTGCCATGCTGGTGCGCTGCACCCACTAACTCGTCATCTAGCATTAGGTATATCTCCCAGTGCTATCCCTTCCCCCTCCCCCCACCCCACCACAGTCCCCAGAGTGTGATATTCCCCTTCCTGTGTCCATGTGATCTCATTGTTCAATTCCCACCTATGAGTGAGAATACGCGGTGTTTGGTTTTTTGTTCTTGCGATAGTTTACTCTTTTAGTGGGTCCAATTTTACACTCATTTCAAATCAGAAGAAAAGGGAGAAATGATTTACTCTGTCCTGCCAAATCAATTATATTACACTAAAAAAATTTGGAATGTTTGCATAACTATTTGTTCTGACCTTCAGACCTAAAATCTTAATATTTAAACTTTATAAAATTTATATTCTTGAAAATACAGTTTCTTCTTCTGGAATAACTTTTCTTTTGAATTACTTTACTAAATCTCTCTGGAGAAAAAAACAAAAGACAAAAAGAGGAAATAAGAACAAAAAAAAAGAAGCCATCTGATTCATCACAATACATAGTTTTAGCAACAGAACCTAAATCTTAGAAGCTAATATGTTTAACAGCTAATAAGACAGAATTGAATACAATGAGTATGGAGGTGTTTCTTCATTTATCCATCATTGGTTGATTGGAATTTATTTGAATTAAACAGATAACAAAATATACTATTTACTATTCCCCGCATTGCTATGGAAATGGAAGGACACAAGAGTTATGAAACCTTTGAAATAGTTACTGTTGCTAGGAAACCACTTTCTTGGTGCCTGCACATTCTTCTCATCTTTCTGTCTCTGGCTGTGCCTGGCTCTAAGACAGTCTTACAGCTCTATGTCAGAGGGGGAAAATCACAAGATCGTGATACAAAACAAGCTACAATAAAACTCTTTCACTAAATGGAAGGATAAAAGGAAAGTGCTTAAATGGATAATTTTGTTATATCAGTGTGTGAGAATCCTGTGGCTGTTCTGTAGCATCACTAACAGGGCCAAGCTCCTCTTTTCTCTTTCCCAAGCACTGGCAGGAGGTCTAGGCTGCACCAGATGAGGTCCCAAAATCTGTATCCAAACCTGTGAAGTCATTTTGTAGTGAAATGCTTAAAATAAAAAACTTTTCTTTCTTCCCTCTCCCACTCGCACCCTTTTTTAGCCTATTTCCTATTTAGTCTTATTATTTCCACAAGGCGTACAGATAAACAAAATGATTTACATGCACATGGCAGTGAATATGTAAAAAAGACAAGCATCCTTACCTGTCTAATCTAAAACCAGTAATATTCCAAAGTAAATCATTATAAAAATGAAGCCAGTAGTGATGAAATAACTAGACAACAATATGTAAAGGGTCCATATTGCATATAATATAGTTCAGATGGAGAGTTACATGAACATCCAGGTTTGACTACTTACAGGGAAATTGAGTATGACTCATTAGCATGGAAGGGTATATCTGTGCCTTCCTTTACTGCAGGATGGGTCAGCTGTTTTAGTTGGTCTTTGAAGAGGAAGGAGGAGATGATAAAAGACTTCAAAACTCATGGGTTCCTAAGGGAACAATGAGGTTGGAAGATTAGGGAAGTGAAGGTTTCTGGTAGAGGAAGATGGAGAAAGGTTACTGGGCATATGGTTTCCATGGAGTGGGGCCTGTGGTGAATAGCAGAGAGTTTGATTCTTCTCTGGGACCATATGAAGCACATGGAGGCATAAAGCAAATTATGTGATCCTGGACCCTAGTGATTTTTTTTTTTTTTAGAAAGCTATGACTGAAGCAGCAAAAGAAAAACAATACTGATGACATTTGAGGACAAAGCATTGACTAAGTGATGTTTTGTGCTTTCTGGTCAGAATGTTCAATGACCATGATAAGTGGCCATTATGAGTGGTCTCGTAAAGAAAGATAAATAGATTTCAAAGTTCATAAGTAGCTCAGGGCAGGGAGGGTCAGGGTACTGATTCTAACATTTTGAGCTTGCTTAGAAGGTGGTTGTACTGATTCTAACATTTTGAGGTTGTACTGATTCTAGCATTTTGAGCTTGCTCAGAAGAAAACTTCAGGCCAATTTCCCTGATGAATATCAATGTAAACATCCTCAATAAACTACTGGCAAACTGAATCCAACAGCACATCAAAAAACTTACCCACTTTGATCAAATTGGCTTCATCCCTGGGATGCAAGTCTGGTTCAAAATACACAAATCAATAAATGTAATCCATCACATAAAAAACAGAACCAATGACAAAAACCACATGATTATCTCAATAGATGCAGAAAAGGCCTTCGATAAAATTCAAAACCCCTTCATGCTAACAATTCTCAATAAACTAGGTACTGATGGAACGTAGCTCAAAATAATAAGAGCTATTTATGACAAACCCACAGCCAATATCATACTGAATGGGCAAAAGCTGGAAGCATTCCCTTTGAAAACTGGCACTAGATAAAGATGCCCTCTCTCACCACTCCTATTCAACATAGTATTGAAACTTCTGGCCAGGGCAATTGGGCAAGAGAAAGAAATAAAGGGTATTCAAACAGGAAGAGAGGAAGTCAAATTGTCTCTCTTTGCAGATGACATGATTGCATATTTAGAAAACCCTGCAGTCTCAGCCCCAAACCTTCTTCAGCTGATAAGCAACTTCAGCAAAGTCTCTAGATACAAAATTAATGTGCAAAAATCACAAGCATTCCTATACACCAATAATAGACAAACAGAGAGCCAAATTATGAGTGAACTCCCATTTACAATTGCTACAAAGAGAATAAAATACAACTTACAAGGGTTGTAAAGGACCTCTTCAAGGAGAACTACAAACCACTGCTCAAGGAAATAAGAGAGGACACAAACAAATGGAAAAACATTCCATGCTCATGGATAGGAAGAATCAATATCATGAAAACTACCCGAAGTAATTTATAGATTCAATGCTATCCCTATCAAGCTACCATTGACTTTCTTCACAGAATTAGAAAAAACTACTTTAAATTTCACATGGAACCAAAAAAGAGCCTGTATAGCCAAGACAATCCTAAGCAAAAAGAACAAAGCTGGAGGCATCATGCTACCTGACTTCAAACTATACTACAAGCCTACAGTAACCAAAACAGCATGGTACTGGTACCAAAACAGATATATAGACTAATGGAACAGAACTGAGGCCGACCTATGGAATGGGAGAAAATTTTTGCAATCTATCCAACTGACAGAGGGCTAATATCCAGAATCTACAAGGAACTTAAACAAATTTACAAGAAATAAACAACTCTATCAAAAAGTGAGGAAAGGATATGAACAGACACTTTTCAAAAGAAGACATTTATGCAGCCAACAAACATATGAAAAATAGCTCATCATCACTAGTCATTAGAGAAATGCAAATCAAAACCTCAGTGAGATACCGTCTCATGCCAGTTAGAATGGTGATCATTAAAAAGTCAGGAAACAACAGATGCTGGAGAGGATGTGGAGAAATAGGAAGGCTTTTACACTGTTGGTGGGAGTGTAAATTAGCTCAACCATTGTGGAAGACAGTGTGATGACTCCTCAAGGATGTAGAACCAGAAATACCATTTGACCCAGCAATCCCATTACTGGGGTACATACCGAAAGGATTATACATCACTCAGCTTGCTATAAAGACACATGTACACCTGTGTTTATTGCAGCACTGTTCACAATAGCAAAGACTTGGAACTAACCCAAATGCCCATCAATGATAGAATGGATAAAGAAAATGTGGCACATACACACCATGGAATACTACGCAGCCATAAAAAGGATGGTTTCATTTCCTTTGCAGGGACATGGATGAAGCTGGAAACCATCATTCTCAGCGAACTAACACAGGGACTGAAAACCAAACACTGCACGTTCTCATTCATAAGTGGGAGTTGAACAATGAGAACACATGGACACAGGGAGGGGAGCATCACACACCAGGGCCTGTCGGGAGGTGGGGGCCTAGGGGAGGGATAGCATTAGGAGAAATACCTAATGTAGATGATGGGTTGATGGGTGCAGCAAACCACCATGGCACATGTATACCTATGTAACAAACCTGCACGTTCTGCACAGTTATCCCAAAACTTAAATTATAATAATAATAAATAAAAGAATTAAGCAAGGTGGGAGTTGGTTGCTAAAAGCTTTATCCTTGTCAGCCTGATTGAAAGTTCAAAAAGAAACACATTTCAGATTTTTTTGTTGTTTCATTTGTAATAAAATAGGATGTGGGGCCAGGCACAGTGGCTCATGCCTGTAATCCTAGCACTTTTTTTGGGAGCCAAGATGGGAGGATTGCTTGAGGCCTGGACTTTTAGACCAGCCTGGGCAACACAGTGAGACCCACATCTCTACAAAAAAAAATTTAAAAAACATTTAGCCAGGTGTGGTGGTGTGCACCTGTATTACCAGCTATTCAGGAGGAGAAGGTAGTAGGGTTGTTTGAGCTCAGGAGGTCAAGACTGCAGTGAGCCATGATTGAGCCACTGCACTCTAGCCTGGGTGACAGAGTGAGGCCTCATCTCTAAAAAGAAAAAAAAAATAGAATGCAGTACCTTGAAATGGGATAATGTCTGCAGGTATAAAAATAAACCTGGATTTTACCAAAACAGAGAATGAGGCGCACAAAACTGCTTTTAAATAAGAGCATGGGCATCACACAGGCAAGGACAATATGCTCATATTCTTATATACCTTTCCAAGAATTCACCAACCTCATTTGACCCAAAAGTCATCCCACTTCTTAGGCAGGGAAATGTAAATTCTAATTCTCCTTCCAGATTAACCTTTCCTGACTTAGCAAAATTGCTATTATATTATGAATATTTACATCAGTCTTGATTTTCACACATGGTTCTCCTAGTCCATGCAGAGATTTAAGGGGTTAACAAGAGTATGAAATAAGATGGGTGAGATGACATCAGTAAAAAAGCTCAGACAGAGAGTTTGTAACAGAAATTGACAAACTCTGTCATGCCTGCCGTTAACATCAAACCATTGCTTGCTGTTACCCACAGCTCTTCTGCAGGATCCTCACACTGCCGTCCCAGCTGTTCCCTACTCTGGGTAGCAGCATGGTGCTTCTGTCTCTAGTCAAGAAGAGTAGGCTGGGCACAGTGGCTCACGCCTGCAATCCCAGCACTTTGGGAGGCTGAGGCGGGTGGATCACCTGAGATCAGGAGTTCAAGACCAGCCTGGCCAACATGGTGAAACCCTGTCTTTACTAAAAAATGCAAAAAAAAAAAAAAAAAAAATTAGCCGGGCATGGTGGCAGGCGCCTGTAGTCCCAGCTACTCATGAGGCTGTGGCAGAGAATCACTTGAACCCAGGAGGTGGAGGTTGCAGTGAGCTGAGATTGTGCCACTGCACTCCAGCCTGCATGACAGAGCAAGACTCTGCCAAAAAAAAAAAAGAAGAAGAGTAGGTGGACACAGACATGTGGATATGTGGATGGACAAATTTCACCTTTCTCTCCTTGCCACTCCTAGATTGTCCTTGCAATATTGTTAAACTAATAACTGGAGGTTCAATATGTCTTAAATAAAGGTTCAAACTGAAAACTTATTAACTCATGTCTTATTTTTTATCTAAATCATAAAAGGTTGGAAATTATGGTACAGCCACTCAATTTCTGACCAGTTGGAGATAATTGTTTTGGTTTATTCCTTCACTTAAACTATCTTATGCTTTGTTCAGTAAGACAATAGAGTGGTACATTGGAATGAAGACTAGCTTTCAAGTCAAGTGACCTGATTCCATTCCCAGCTCTGCTACTTGTTATTTTTATGATCTTGAGCAAGTTACTTAAGCTCTCTAAGCTTCAAGGTCCTCTTCTGTGACACTGAAATAATGTCTGCCACAAAGGGGATGGCATGAGGCTGAAATGAAATATCACCTGAGAAGGCATGGGATCCTGGTGTATGACACATAATGTCCCTTTCCTTCCTTTCTATTCTCATGCTGAAGAAATGCTGCTACATATTTTTCAGATCATGGACATGACATATAATTTAGAGAAGCTTATATGACCTCCTCAAACTGATATAAAAAGTAATTTGAAGGTAAAGAGGTATAACAATTTTAGAGATTAAGTGATAGATCCTTTAGATATTAAGGGATTCTAATAGAAAGTCATTGGGACTGAAATTTGCATCTGGAATGCATCTTTTTCTTTCATTGTATAGTAAATGGCAGATTTTCACTTTTTGTTTATTGACTTTGCTATCAGCAAAGTCATTTAATATATTAATAATGTGAAGTCACTCATAATTCATTCATGTCAATTGTCATATCAACTATCATAATACATATGAAATTGAAAAGTCTTTCATTTCATAATTAGATTGTATAGAATTTAATGATTATGAAAAGCTGAGCTGTTTGTTAAAATATGAAACAATGGTAGAAATGAGATTCAAAAAATAAAAGGCCACATAAGAAACTCTTCTCCCCCGAAGGAAAAATTACAAATAATTACAAGAATGTAACTTTACTTATTTTCCTGGCTTAGAATGATCCTCTTGAATAGGAAATCAAGAAGAATTACTGTAGGTAAAACTGTCTTCTTAAAAGTGAAGATTCAGGGTCTGATTTGCTCAGTAGCTAAATACAGAGCCCGTTTCAAACTGTGGAGCTCTTTCCTGTGAGGTTTGTCTGAATTGCAACACTGCCAAACATCGCTCGGTGCTCTTCCCTAGCAGTCTCTAACTCTGGCACCAGCTTCCACAATGACGCGCTACCAGCTGCCTTCAGAGCGAAGACCAGTCCAGAAGCTCTCAGCCTGCTGCTGTTGATATAAAGTGAATCCCTCTCCTGGTTCAGAAGACAAGAGCGAGACACACCCCTGCAAACCTCTTTGAACTCATGTCTCATCCAAAAATCCATCAGCATTTATAGCTTTTTCAGGAGTTTTTAGAGCAACCCCCAGCAGGAGCCAGTCAAAATAACTTTGGAAGTGCATGGTTAGATTCTTTTCAGGAGACAACCTTGATAGCTTATTGTTTTTTCTTCACCTTATTGTGTGATGTTTCTCGCCATTCTTTTTTTTTTTCATTTTACAACATGCCATTAGATTGCCTTAAAGTCTCCTAAATATCCCAATATTAGTTACATATCTGTTCCTTGCTACTCCTGCAGATATTTGACCCTCTGCCTATCAATTCAGGTGAAAGATCTATTACAGATTATTATAAAAAGAAAAAATTTGAAGTCTAGATTTTAACTGTGCCATAATTTATCTTAAATATTAAATTGTTTCCTATAGGTTTAGTAAAAAAATTGCATTTACTGGTATCAAGTAATTTTTTTAATGTTAATTTCACAAGAACTCAAAGATGCAATGATTTTAATATCTAATAAATCTTAAATTTAGTTGTTACCTAAAATAAGTGATTTTCCAAATGGTAAGTCAAAGAATAATATTATTGCCAGGCATTAGAAATATGACTGTTGGCACAGAATATTTTAATATTCTGGTTGAGAAAGCAAGATCTAGAATCTGTCTTATTTTATTTTATTTTTTTTATTTTTTGCGTTTTCTGCTTGTTTGAAACATAGACTTGCTTTTTACAAAAACTCAATTATTCTTCATCAGCACAATTCACATCAATTCACCAAAATCAAGTCTCTCTTAGTTTACCAGATACAAAATTCAATTAATTATCCAAACACGTTCAAATAGCTGTGAATGCGTTTTCCAGATACCATCTTGCCTGAAGTATTCTATTCTGTGATAAGAAATGTGCACTATGAAATCTAATCTAATCATTCTTTCCTGACAGTGTTGGACAAATATTTAAGACTAATATAGACTAATTCATCCAGATTCCCTAGATACTTTTTTTTTTTTTTTGAGACATAGTCTTGCTCTTGTCACCCAGGCTGGAGTACAATGGCACAATCTCGGCTCACTGCAACCTTCGCCTCCCGAGTTCAAGCAATTCTCCTCCCTCAGCCCCCAGGTAGCTGGGATTACAGGCACCTGCCACCACGCCCTGCTAATTTTTGTATTTTTTTAGTAGAGATGGGGTTTTGCCATGTTCGCCAGGCTGGTCTCGAACTCCTGACCTCATGTTCCGCCCGCCTTGCCTCCCAAAGTGCTGGAATTGCAGGCATGAGCCACCACGCCCTGCCCCCAGATACGTTTTTAAGATTAAAAAAATAAATAAAATGGAGCATTTAGAATAAAGTAGAATTTCTTATGCAAATCTTTCTAAATTAGAGGTATCAGAGGCACTAAAAGTGTCAGAGAATCTAGCACTTAAATTGTGACATATGACCATTAAAATGACCTTGAATTTACTGGAGAATATTTATTCTTTTTTGATTTATATTTCTTCTGAATAGCATTTAATGATTCATGAAGCTGACATCATCATTCAGTGTAGAAATGCCCTTAATCTATTGTCCCATTTGGGAGTTTGGTAGTGAAAGGTATTGATTTTATATGTGTGTGTGTTCTGAAAAGACGTGGATTTCTTTTACATCTCCTTCAAGCAACTAAGAGTTGATTTTGAAAAGAAACCTACAAAAATTGTATTTCCATATTTCATAGTCAGCCAAAAATATTGGTAACTATGCTTTGAAGGTCTGAAAATTGGGAGTGGTTAGCAAGGACCATTCAAATTAATCTTTGGTATTGCCAAAATATTTCTCATTTTATATATGCTGACCTAGAAATATGTCTGATAGAAATCTTCATGAGACAAGCTCCCAGAAGGCACCATTGCTAACACAGTTTATCTTCCTTTGTAAAATGTCTTTCTTTAATAGTTGCCTTGAGGTGCAAACAGAAAGTTAATATGTACCTATTTTTCTGACATTGGTTTCTAGGATTTTTTTTCTAAAAACAGATATACTTTCTTAATGGTTTCCCCAAATCAAGTGTCTGCATAATAGAAAAAGTAATGATCTGACAAAGACTCATTACCAATTTTCGATTACTAATGTCTCTCTTTAGAACATACAACAACTTCTTAATCTAAAAAGGAGGAGCTTGAAAGCCTTCACATCTGAAAAATCTAATTTTATCCCAGTTGTGTCTCCTTTACCAGGAAAAGCTAGATTATTTAGTTATAAATATTTATTCAGTTCTTCAGGAAAAGATGATCAGACTAGATTTCACTACGTCTGTACTTAACTGATGTGTTTGAAAAAGGAAATAAGAAATTACCTTGCTTGGTATCAGGTAATGCATTCTTTTTCAAAGAAATTCTAAATTTAGAAATATTAGAGTAATAGAATGGAAGACAGGTCAGAGAACACTGAGTCTATCCCCATTCCTTTACTTCACAGACATTATGGCCACATCAGTAGGATTAGGACCGGAGGTGGAGAAATAGAAGTGGACAGAGGTCTCATTATTGGGCCAGTTGGCCAGTCTTTGGTTGTGATTAGACTTAGTGTCAGTTTCCAAATCCTGCAATGTGGCAATTTAGGAGAGAGGCTACTAATGACTATGAAATGAGTGAGAGGACAAGGAGGAAGCTAAAAACAATGTAATAGGCTCAGTTTTGTTTTGTTTTGTTTTGTTTCCTGGCCAACAGGTATATTATGAATATCTCACATCAAAATGGTGACAAGAGATCTTATATCACTGCTTCTCAAAAGTGAAAATCTCTATATGTTAACCTTATTAGTCCCTATAATGATGCATCAGTAAAATAGGGAAAACATCATCTATGATTTGTTTTTTAATCCAATAAAACAGAGTGTAATAAACAAGAAAGGGAAAGTCAATAATATGAAGTTAGAAAAACAAAGTAGTGAAATGACATTGACATTGACTTGGAATAAGTAGCTACTTGGAAAGATGTCCATCAACAGCTCGTGGGGAGCTTGATGAACCTCTGGAAGTGGAAAGAACAGGCTGATGCTGAGACACTGTAAGAACAGAATAACTATCAATTGCTTTTTGTGTTTGTTACTCAGCTATTCATGTTCCTTGACTTGTTTTTTAACAAAAGAATTAATGTAATGTTCTTAGAACTTTCGTGAGATGTGTTTGTTCTTTCTTCAGAATTTGATTATAAATGGATATTTGGATATTAAGGAAGTTTGGCTTTGCAAAGTGACTTTATTGGCAAGTCAGTCCACCAGAAGTAGTGCTGTTTTGTTTCCCTTTTGTTTCATTATGTTTTGTTTTAAATCAGGGCACATAGTACTTGAAGGGAGACAAGAGATAGTCTACTCAAAGATTTCTTACATGAGACATAAAAAGAAACATCCCAAATCAATTTCAGTCAAAAGATCATTGAATAATCTCATTTTTCGTAATATTTAAAGCTGTTATGAAGATAATGCCATAGCAAATAGTAAATCTCCCTTAAAAGACACACATATTACGTACAACAGTGGAATAAATCTGCCTTCTGGCAAGAATTATTAGTGTTGAGCCAGATATAGCTATTTTGATAGCTAAGGAGTTCCCAGCACTTCCCTCTATAGGTTATGGCAAGCAATAAATTTCCTTGGCATACAGCAAAAGTCCAGGTACACCAGCATTTGTATTAAAAAGTAAACAAGGCAGGGCACGGTGGCTCATGCCTGTAATCCCAGCACTTTGAGGGGCCGAGGTGGGCAGATCACCTGAGGTCAGAAGTTCGAGACCAGCCTGACCAACATGGAGAAACCCCATCTCTACTAAAAATACAATATTAGTCGGGCGTGGTGGTGCATGCCTGTAATCCCAGCTACTTGAGAGGCTGAGGCAGGAAAATCACTTGAACCTGGGAAGCGGAGGTTGCAGTGAGGCAGGATCGCACCATTGCACTCCAGCCTGGGCAACAAGAGTGAAATTCCATCTCAAAAAATAATAGTAGTAATAATAATAAGTTTTTTTAAAAAGAAGTAAACAAAATCAGTATAAGATAGTAAAATCAGTGATAACCACTGCCTCAGAGCTGATTGCCAAGATAGACAGTATCTTGTCATTATTAAGAGAGAAGAAAATTAATGTGTTCCCCCTCCCCACAGGTTCAGGATGCATTTAGATGCCGATTGAGAAACTGTCAGGATCCCATCAATGCAGATTCTTCGAGTTCGTTTCCTAATGGGCATGCTCAAATCATGGTGAGTTTTTATTTTTCCCCGATTGTTAATTAACTCATGATTTCTCAAGGGAATAAAAGAAATCCTTATGAGTAAAATAGTGTAAAATTTTCATTTTGATTGACTTTGGCTTCAGTTCATTAATAGACTGTGAACTCTGGTACCACAGAAGTATTATTTCCAGATGGCTTCAGAGTCCAGGACATGTTGTTGGCTCCCTGGGGTGTTGAGTGTGGGAGTCCTATGCAACACTGTGAAGTATGTTCCTCCTTGCGTAGAATTAGGGCTAATGATTTATGCATAGGATCATGTGGATGTCTTTTACAGATCAGAACACTATGAACCTGCACTTCTAGTCTTAAAGCAGTGGTTCTTGGCCTTAGTGAAACATTGGAATCATCAGGGGAGCTACACCACAGACCAATTAAAATCAAAATATTGGGAGTAGGACCTAGGTATTGGTGATTCCAGTATGCAGCCTAAGATGAGAACCACTGTTCTAAAGTGTAAGGAGTAGCCACTCTTTTAGTGAAAGACCAGTTATTGTACATGAGCTCTGGTTATTATTGGAATCAAAGTGTACTTTAGGTATAACCACTTTGATGTATTTTAGAAATAAGATGAGATTTAAACTCTGTCATTTAAAGCAGGAATTAAATAGGACAGTTTTACTTTTACAGTATATTCAATTTATTATTAACTTTTTTGAACTAGGCAACAATAATAAACTAGATGATACATTAGTAACTAAGACTTTACAAAGAATAATCAACTCCTTACTAAAAACAAATAGATAGCCAAAATCTCTGATTTAAAATATTAATAGGGAAAGGCATTTGATTGGAAGACCCTGATCAAGATAATGAAATTTTATCATTTCAAAACATTAATTGATTTGCTTAAAATAAAAGTTTTAGGAAAATATGAGGTCACAACTAAACCCCAGAAGGTTCTCGACCAGATGAGTATGGTTTAATCTTCAGTTTTAAGTCCTAAACCTGAAAGCTTTTTGCCACATTTGAGTGAAAATGAATCATTAGAAGAGCCTAGTTTGAGCCTAGTTTAACCTAGTTTGACAAAGCTGGATTCTAAGATGTTACATTACAAGCAATATATTCAAATTGAATGTTTAAAAATGCCAATAACAAACATAATTATTTAAGAATATTCATAATAATTCACATTCTGATGTCTTTATTATGGTTAGAGAATTGCCTTAAAATTCTATCCTTCTAATATATAGTAATCAGTTTCCAGACTGAAGATGACACTGGGTATTGTATTATCTTATTAAAATTGTGTGCTATGTTTCCTTTGATTTTATTTAACATTTGGGCTCTAGAAAACACTGTTGAAAACAATCTAATTATACATAGAGAAATTTCCTATGAACAAAACAATAAACTTGTACTGCCAAGTTAGATATCTGTAAACTTCAGATAATCTGATTAGTAAAAGACACTTGAGGTCTTCATTAAATGATGGTTCTATGTCTTATTATTTATTGTTACAGACAGACTTTGAAAAGGATGTAGACATTGCCTGTCGATCAGGTAAGAATATTTAGATTTTGAAATCTAATCAGTAGGGATGTTCAATCATTTCTATAGATTTTAATTTTAAAGAAAATGCTGTGGTTTACACATTACATATTGTTCTGTGAAAGGGCTGTATATGTAAAGCAGCCCCCAAATGCCAAAGGAGCTGAGAAACCAAAGAACGAGGCAGAAAAATCCAGTTGTTGGTAAAAGGTAGGATATTAGGGAACTTACAGACAGGAGTGTAGTCTTGGGCAGCAGCAAGACAGATAGATCCCCACACAGTTACTCTTCAGACACAGGGTTTATATACCATAGGGAAAGGGGAAACATGCTGTATAGACAATTAAAGGCAACCCTCCAGAATGGGCAAGAGTGCTATGTGCCTCATAGCCTATGATTTGTACAATAACATCAAGGTTGCTTTGATCTACAGGCAGAATTTGTAATGAGTACATGTTCTTACATTAAGCACACTAAATAAAGTAAGAATCAGGAGGCATTCATAGGACTGGGGTTATTGAGAAATCAAAATGGTGGATTAGCATTCAAGATGGAGTCACTGTCTCCATATTTATGTGTATGACAAAATAGAATTCTTAAAATGGAAGGACTGTAATAATGGAAGTGTGTTTGTGGAGGAAGAAGGAGAGAGAGAGAGAAAAAGAGAGAGAGAACAAGAGAAATGAGAGAAAAACTAAGAATGGTTCATTGGAAACACCATGACAGCAGAAAAACTTTCACATGGAGACATAAGATTTCCATTCCACCAAGTAATGGTTGTTGGGTGTAAGGCCAGTCAATTTAACCTTTCTGTGCCTCTATTTTATCAAGTACGGAATATGGGTTATTGTAAAGATGGAATTGCATTGTCTGTATGTGTATTAAGGTTGTTGTGGTTTTAATTTTACAAAGGGTGAAGAGAAGCTCTGCAGCACGTCCTGTTTAGAGGGTTGTATGCCATAATCTCCCAGCCTGTGGCTAAATTCTCACCAGAGTAGATGGCTCAATAGTTTTAAAGGAAACTATATGTTCAATTTTGGGGGATAGTTCCAATTGTTGGAATATGGTCCTTTGTAGGAACAGAATATGCCTCATTTTACCTTTTATTTGTTGATCTTGGTGCTGCCTTTCAAAACAACAGTGAATATCTACTTCATCTAAATATCCAACTATCTTAAAGCAATTATCATTTAGCCCAATCCAAGTATTTTTTTCTTCAGATTAAACAAGCCTTGTTTCATCCTTCATTTCTTGTAGCATTCTCTGAGGCACGATGCCCAAGGTAGCCTCCGATTTATCAATAATTTTAAATTATCGTGCTCAAATATATACATGTTCACCCAGCATTTATCACAGTGGGCTCTTTACTTGTATTAATGATTTGCATATGATTTCTATTTCAGTACTAGTGTCAACTTACCTGAAATTCCTAAAACTTTTTGTAGAAGTTGTCAGGGCATCCCCAGTCTTATTTGTAAAGGTTTTGTTTTTGGTATGTTTTCCTTGAAAAAGAAATTTGTCCTTTGCAGTTATGTCTATTTGCTATTATTTTACCAATTTCAGGTTAGCATACTATCCATTTCCATTGTTTGGTGACTAAAAGTTTTATAAGACTACCTTCTAAGTCTTTATTCAAACTGTAGTTAAAAGAGTTGAATGGCATGAAACCTAGTAGAGAAACCTGCTATATTCAGTAAGGCACCCCCTTACTGCCAGCAGACCTCCTCTACATGGAGCTTTCAGATTCAACTCAAAACCATTAAACATCTGTACAGAATCTCAGGTCCTGTCATGATCACAAGAATATGAGAAACTAATCTCATATTCTCATTCCTGGATTTAATCTAAATACTCTATGTAGAGTATGGTCATAGCAAAACAGTAAGGTAACTATCATGATTTGGCAACCTGTAGTGGACCTGCACTGGGCATTAGAAATCACTATCTCCTGTTGAAAACCTAACAAAATGTTGTCAGGATGCAGTCTCACTAGTGCTTGGTTTCCAGAATTGATCGTTTTCCTTTTTTGGATAATTGATATAATATTGTCACTGTGCTCCATCCACCTGCCATAATTTCTCAAAAATCACTAGCCATGGTGCCAATTTCCACATCTATGTTCCAAGATGGAATGTGATTTGTCCGGGTTTAGAAGCTTGAATTTATTTACAATGAATAAGTATTCATTTAATTCCTAATCTTCCACCTTCAGTGTTGTTTTTTTCAGCCTCATTTGGTGTACTCATTACAGTTCTCCTTGACAGAGAAGCAATATAAGAGCAGACAGGTTTGTCTTTCCTCTAACAGCTGTAACATTAAACCAGTGGTTGTCAAAGAGTGGTCCCTAGACCATCAGTGTTATCATCACCTGAGAACTTATTAGAAATGCATATTTTGAGGCCCTAACCCAGGCCTTTGGGGTCTGAAACTGGAGGTTGGGGTATAGGAACTAGTTATAAGCCATCCAGATAATTTTGATGCATGCTAAAATTTGAGTACCACTGTATTAGACCATCCTCCTCAAGCTGTGATCTCATCTCTGCAGTATTTATCTTGTTCTCCTTCATTAAATTACAGATTTTTCCCGGGCCTCATTGTATGCTGGGATTTAGCATCCCTAATACAGGCCAGTGCCATTATTTTATTAGAAAATAATTTTTCTAATGTTTTCATTTGTTATTGGTGCCCTTTTCAGTTGAGCCCATTAGGATCTTTCTTCTGAGTTTATCTAGAGTTGTCTGTCTATGTTGAAGCGTATTCATGAACTCTGAATAATCTTTCTTTATACTGAGGTGAAATTCACTTCCCTAAATGGCAGCATTTCCATCTGATCATGCCAAATATTCAGTTGCTTTATATTTTGTTTGAAGTTTGTGTTTCACTACTTGATTAGTTTCTCTCGAAAGTCCCATCACTTTAACATCATGTTTTCGTGTGTAGGTGGTATGATTTGTTTATGCTGTATATTCAAAACTTGGATATACATTTTAAGTAAGTCTAAGAGGCAGGCATTTCTCTCGTATAGAGCAGCCACTACTGCAAAAGAAGAATTATCTTTCTTTACACACACACGTATATATATATATATTTTTTTTCAGCAAACACAACTATATCACTTGATTGAAATGTGTTGGCTATAATTATAAATCATATTACATTTGTGCAAAACTTAATGTATCTTGTACGAATTTAAATTATAGAGTCAATACACAGTACCAATACTTCCTTTATAGTTTTTTAATAAAAGATTAAACTTATCTATATATTTTAATGAAACAAAATAGGTTCCCATATATTTTACTGCTATAAATTTTGGAATTATTTTTATATACAATTAAGGGTTAAAAGTGTTCCTTACTGAATTTGGAGATTTTTTTTAAGTATTTATTTACAATATCATTAAATCATTACAATATCATTAAATTTAGCATACTTTGCCCCTTACTATGTCATGTATCATTACTCCTGGAAATTACAACTCATTATTGATCTATTATATTAAGACTTTTGGAAATAACTTTTTAAAACTGAATTATTCTACTTTTTATTATGTATAACACTTAATTACATAAAAAGGCACAGCAAAATTGTTAATCTTAAAAAAAAGATGTAAATTTAACATGATTTTTACTGCCTAAGATAAAGAGACAATAATACAATAACTAGATATAATATCTTTCAAGATAACAGATATTACATGAATGATTCATGTTTTGAAATAATTTTAAAGTCTTGTTTCTATGTAACAGGGAAAGACATAATCTTTTTCAACTTCTGCTTTAATGAATAATAATTATGATTCTACTTGAAAATTGGATAATAATGGAAAAAAATCAGTATATCTGAAACTTTTTATGAGGAGACAATAAACCAGACTTTTACAGTCATCTATGCCTAATGAAATTTTAAATGATGATTGCTCTACTTCGTAGGTAGGTTAGCACCAGATGTGCATGTTGAACCAACTTCGCACAGCGCTATTCTGTGTGCTTTCAATTCCAAAGTTACAAAAATAAGTCTTCAGAATTTTATTCATTTGTATCCTCAAAACTGATGATTGTTCATAACTAAGCATGCTTTGTGTTATTCTGCCCTATTATCCCCAAAACATGGCTTTCTTTTTATACAGAGGCAAAAAGAGAAAAAAAAACTAAAATATATTTTAATAAAGAATTATTTACTCTTTTGTTGATTGTTTTTGTTTGGTTTGGTTTGCATTTTTGTTTTGTTCCCTTTCATACTACAAGTTATCATAGATTTTTTTCCCTAAATCATTATTCTTAGGCTTAAAGTGGAACAAAGATTTTGGAGGTTCATAAAGTGTTTTTTTCTTAAACTCAGCTGGCAATTTTAATATTCCCGCAAGGGCATTCCAGCTTATAGATTAATTTTTTAAATTTTCTTTCTTCCATATAAAACTGAATATGATAAATACTTTTGAATATTGTATCCACCTTGACCATATGGACTTCAGTGAAAAAATCCTCATTAATTTTCAATATGCATAATTTTTGGAGGGATTTCTGATCCAGTAGGATGAAGTTCCCATTAATTATCCCTTCAAGAAGCATTTTAATGAGCGTAACTTCTAGAACACATTGGAGGGAAAGCCATTAAGAAAAAAATCAAATTTGTATGAATATGTTCATAATTTTACAAAAATCCTTTGGAGCACATTGATGGAGAAAACTTCTCTGGTAATCTCCTATTTCCCTGAAAAGTTATATGGAGTTGTTTAAGGACAGGGTACTAAGATTTTTGAAAGCCCATTAATCAACTTTCAGATTTGCTTTAGCTATGGGCTACCTGAGATCTATGAGAGCATAACAGAATCAATGAAAAGTGATTGAGTAATCTCTCTGGACCATGTACAAACAAATTGATATGTATTTTTTTTAAATAACATACCTACCAAATAATATATCTTTAATGTTTAGTAGAAAGCGAGACAACATAATATAATAATGAAAAATAAACACACATTAACTCTCTTTCTTCAACTTTACATTCCTACTCACAGTTCTTCATAAGGATATTGGTCCTTGCCGAGCAGCCACAATAACAGGAACACTTTCTAGGATTTCTCTAAATGATGATGAAGAAGAAAAGGGAACAAACCCTGAAGGGCTAAGCTATTCAACATTGCCTGGAAATGTCATTTCCAAAGTCATCATCCAGCAACCCACAGGTTTGCACATGCCCATGAGTATGAATGAGCTTAGCAATCCATGTTTGAAAAAAGAAAATAGTGAATTGCGGAGAACTGTGTACTTATGTACGGATGATAATTTGAGAGGGGCTGACATGGACATAGTCCATCCTCAAGAAAGAATGATGGAAAGTGACTATATTGTGATGCCCAGAAGTTCTGTAAATAACCAGCCTTCAATGAAAGAAGAAAGCAAAATGAATATTGGCATGGAAACCTTGCCGCATGAAAGGCTATTGCACTACAAAGTAAACCCTGAATTCAATATGAATCCCCCTGTAATGGACCAGTTCAATATGAACTTAGAGCAACATCTCGCACCCCAGGAACATATGCAGAATTTGCCCTTTGAACCTCGCACAGCTGTGAAGAATTTCATGGCCTCTGAGTTGGATGATAATGCAGGACTATCAAGAAGTGAAACTGGATCAACGATATCAATGAGTTCTTTAGAGGTGAGCCACAGAAGATTAAATTTTTCCTTGATAGTTGAAATATGAATAGATATAAATAGAGATATTGATTGATTGGTTGATTGATTGATGTGACACTGGTGTGGGAAGAGAAGATTCACATTAGCTTTTGCAGTTTTGTATCATGAAAATTTCTGGCTATTGAGATTCAGTCTCAATGTAGGGTTTTCTCAGTAGTGTATTATCATCCCCTTATTCAAGATAATATTTGAAAAGGAACCCATTATATTTAAAAAGATACTAATCAGTCATAATTCTGTCATCATGGGAACTAAGGCACTCATAAAAAATAAAATAAAATAAATAAATAAATAAATAACAGGATTCTTCTGATGTTTCTCAGGTACCACAGGTCCTTTTGGTGCACAGTGTCTACGTGGCATTACAAACTTAAACTGAGATCTGCACTTTCTGTGTAACAGCAACTGTTAAAAATTACAAAATTGGAATATTTCTCTAAATGTTTTACCATTATACTGATGAAAAACTAATTATTATTACAGTAGATCAATATTATTCAGAGTAAATATTTTGCTCTTAACTTACAGAATAATGACCATTAAAATTTTGCATCTTAGACTGTGAATTGTCAGGAAGAATGTAATCTGAGCATACTAACAGGATTCTGAGGTCCAACCACATGGCCTTTTTGTTTTCATAAGGCCACCAAAAGCAAAGAGTAAACTCGTCACTGCTTATACAGTGAAAAATAGCTGTAAACCTGTGGTTGACATATATATTCATATACGATGCAATACATGCATACTTTTATATGATTGCCACTTGTTTTAGTATAATAGATTATTACATAAAACACTATCTACAGAAAGGCACTATAATTAGTTGCCTGCCCTTTCCAACCCAGTTATGCTGATAATTGTATGTTCAAGTGTCCAAAAGTTCCCAGAGGCAATTGTTTCATGCTTCTCCCCAAAGCCATTCCTTCCACTAGGTCAAAATGAAGAGGCATTCTGAGAGTCTTAAAAAATGCGATGAATAAGGTAATTTTCAGGGTTTTCCCAATTGATTGAGAAAATTCTAGACAATAAATGGTAATGTGAATAGAATCTAAGATAAGTCCCTAAGTTCTGGATCACCCTCAAACTGAGTAAGGCTTCTGAGGATAACTAGGTCAGAATCATTCTTCAGAACCAAAGGCATAGATAGGGCTTCATTAGAAGCCAAGTTCAACTCCAGGGTGACTGAAGCTCCCTTCTGAACAAAAGTATTTCATCCTCCTGAATTAGCAGAATAGCTGCAGTTTCTTTATTTGTAACTTGCATATCCCAGAGACTTCCAGGTTTGTAATAATGACCACATAAGAACAAACTACAAAATATTTATGCAAAAATCACAGAAGTTTTTAAAAGGATTTTCAGTAAGTGTGCATATAATAACATAACATTATAAGTAATCATAATGACTATATGGAAGTTTTCTGTATAGTGTGGCTCTTTTAAATGTGTTAAAGGGGGTTGAATGGAACTGCATGAAAATATTTTGGTTGTTACAAAAATGTTTTACATCTAAAAGCCTGAAAATTTTGCTGGATTGATATTGTACAGGTTATCTGTGCTTGAACAATAGACTGTATTTCCAAGAACTTCTTTCTTCAGTTTGTAATTTTTCCAAATTTCCGTATCCTTATTATTAAGTGTATTATATATAACTGTGATTCAGCCAAAAGACCTGCATTTAAATGACTTAGAGATCACAAGACTTACATCTTGAAAAGGAAGGAAATTTGGAATTCAGAATGAAAATTTGGTTCTTCATTTTCATTCTTTAAATGAATTTAATAGTAATTGCTTAGGGTGACTATTTTATGAGATAGCAGAAAGAGAATATATAGATGTGGGAATGAATAATAAAAATTAGCATTTATATAGCATCTTTCATTAGCAGATCCTCAAATCACTTTAAAAACAGGAATTAATCTTCACAACACCTCCATGCAAGGGATAAGTTGTTATAATCCTCAAACTAGAGTCATTTGTTCAAGGTTATAGAGCAAGTGCATAGCAAATCTAGGAATAGAATCTTTCTGTCCTGATCAATTTTATGCCATCTAGAAGAGACAGTAATGAGCCTGAATATTAGCATGAAGGTAACTTTAAAGTTCTTTCTAATCCTTGATAGGCATTTGGTCTTATGATTAATAAAGACATGAAATGGGTAAAGCCCTTGTCCTTTAAGTGTGTACAACTAACACATTTTGGAAATGGGGCTGTGTTCATGAAGATAAAGTTTTTGGTCTGGCTTTCTTCTCGGGCAGCATGATGCATTGTCAAGTAGAATTATCAGCTCTGCTAGATTGCGTATGCAGGGTCAACTGGTGAGGGAGATGCTATTCTGACAATAATAAAGGAAAAGCAGAAAAATGACCTGAGTATCTACATAGAGAGTGGGATTAACAGTAGTCAGGAGGTGTTTTGAGTCTTAGAAGATAATGTTAAGGTGAAAATGGTAAATAATGTGGATCACATGAGGCCTAAGCAATAGGACAATTTAAGTCTTTTCTCCCTGTAAGTAAGAAGGAAGATTAAAGCCATAGAGAACATCCAGCCTGGGCAGCTGGCACAGCAGAGGATGGCCAAGATCCTCAGGATACTTTCAAGGATATAATATAAAGACGCTCACATTTTACCTCCAGAGGAGTCAGTTTTCACAAACTGCCAGCATGGAAAGTGCTGAAGGAAAAAACAGAAGAAGGTAAACACTGCCAGTTGTAGAATAGAATTTGATAGAAAGTGGAAAAGAGGAAAAACGAGAGTTGAGGGAGGAAAAAAGAAAGCCAAAAAGAGTGCAGAGGGTGAGTGGGTGGAAGTATTTATTCAAATAAGCAAGAAGCAACAAAGAAAGAAGGAGGCTCCCCAACCCCGAAGTCAGTGCCAGCACAACAGCTTCCAGCCTTCATGGGAGTTTGTTCAGCTAACCACCAATTATTGGATATAAAAAGTTCAATAAATTCATGAAGTTTCTTGGCATAAAAACATATCTAGATTTTCTCTGAGCCTAATAGTACCTTGTTTCTTTCCTTCTGGTGATATGTTCTCTTTCTAACTGTAGTCATTCCCAAATGAACTTGTTAAGCAATTCTGAAAACTTTAGATACAGAGCTGCCACTATTATGGAACAATTGCAATACTAATATACTAAGATTTTTCACAACAATGGCTCCAGCCCTAAATATCCTGTAACTGCTTTGCTTAAGGTTAAGAAGAATGATATTGTTGTCAGCACTTTAGTCATTTACCTTCAATTAATGAACAAAATGTGATGAGTGCATGGTGTATACATAGAGCAAAACAACAGCAACAACAAAAAACATACTAAGATTTTGCTTTTGAGCAAGAGGGGACAAAAGAGATATCATGGTTCTCAAGCACTTGAGGACTATAAAATCTAATTTAAACCTTGGATTGTTCTTTATTTATTTCCTGAAAAATTATAGTTGTAACATTGTAGAGAGACAGGTCAGTGTTTGTTCTGAATCATTGAAACTCTGGTATTTACTTTAGCAGGTTGTAGAAGTTAGATTTAAATAGTAAGCATTTTTTCACTCAAGAGTCTTTCCAACTTATGTGCACATCTTGGACATGTTTAGCACATGGTCCATTCTTCACTCTTTTCCCTGTATCATTCAAGGTTAATTTAGGTTCTTGAGTCACTGGCTTTTGGCTGGGTTCTACCAACAGGAAGCACTGGTGAGAGAGTAGAGGTTGAGGAAAAGAGGGAAACCTGGGATCTTTCTCCCTTACTCTTTCTGCTTTTGGAAGCACCTTGTATGTCTGGTGTAGTTCCCACAGTGCTTCCAGTATATGCCAGGTGCTGCAACCTCTGGGCTTAAATCACTCTGCCCTCTCTTTGTATCTGTCCAGCCTAGGAGGTACACTGACCTCTTCTGCGAATCCCTGGGTTACTACATGGTCCCCTATGTGGCATCTCAGTTCTTCTATCATTTGAATTTTTGTGGACCATCTTGCTGAAATGTAAACACCTTAAGTGGTTTCTGTTGTTCTTGCCTTAATTTTTCTTATCAATAAAAAACTTAATAACTGATAACAGTTAGATAGTACATTACAAAATGCTTACCCAAAATAGAAGATTTTGTTGTTTTAGCTTGTCTATTTGTGTATAAGCTTACCTATATGTCTGAAACCAAATAAGTCTCTCTCAATTTGTAATGGCCAGAAAGGACACCATTCTAGGCTAAATTTTTATACACCAGTTTTTCTCTGGACATGAATTATAGAGCTCTCAGCATAATGGTTTTTAAAGGTAAAATATTTTAGCAATAATATCACATTACAGGTGCCTCCCTTACAGCTGTTGTGAGGATCAAATTAGATAATGTACATGAAAAACCTTTGAAATTGTAAGAAGCACTTTAGATGTAAGATTATGTTATTATTATGTCATTACTGTAATGCCCTGAATTTCTGCAAAGAAATTTGAATGCTGAGTTAAATCGATATTCACAATATTAGAAAAAATGTTATGGCCTCACTCAGGAACTGGGGCACTCTGTCACTAACAGAAACCATTATAAAATTGACCATGTGCAGAAACAACTTTTTCTTTTTTACATTTTTTTCTCTTTTACATTTTTTTTCTCATGTAAGTCTGATGAAAGGAAAACTTGCCCTTTTTTACTGTTTTGCTTTTACTCCTGGATTACAGAATTTTGTCTCTCTTGCAGGCGTACAACAAAATTAGCTTGAATAAAAGTCATTTTTAAAAATTAATTATTCTCAGGTATCATTTCTGCAGCTATTTTTAGTGGATTTGCTACCAGAACTTTCTCCTTGCAAGTAGGTTTATTGGTCACTTTGTAATAGAAATTTTAATGGCATATTGCCATTCATTAGTCAGTGGAATTTATTACTTGCTGTGAATCTTCTAGTATCTTGTCCAGCTTAATTTGCAGTGACGAAAATAATGAAGTATTCCCTTTGAGAAATTATTCATCATTCTACAAGACTTAGATGTGGAGAAATGCCTCTATGCATACATTCACTAAGTATTCCTTTGAGTAGCTTCATACTGTTGTACATTTTCTCACTTTTAAATCATCGTAAAGAATTTCTCCTTTCTATTAGTGATAGGCCTTCCTTCCTGCAAATTGTCTTGATTCTCTTAGCTGTCAGTTGACCTGTTCATAATGGTTTTCGTTGTGTGTTTAGTCTACCTGCTTAAACAAATTCTCTCAGAGTATGCCCAAGCAAAGCAGCAACAACAAAACAAAAATAAAAAGTCACATTCTTTTGAACACTTTTGGCTGTTGTCGTGCAGCTCTTTTAATCATTTACCAATAATTTTGTGAATGTCTCCTATTGTGCCATGCCCTCTGCTAGATGCTGCGGATCTAAATGTAATCAAGATAGAAATGGATCTTGCCCCTGTGGAGAATACACCCTATGGCAGAGACAGACAACCATTAAACCAATGAATGAAATAGTGTGCAGTAATGGGTAATAACTATGGAATGAAAGGGAGAGATTTCTCTAGATAAGGTGGTCTGGGAAGCATCTGAAAGTGTCATTTATTGTAAGAAATAAAATTGAGAAGTAATGTGGCTTGCAAGGAGCTGAGGGAATTTTTCAGGCAAAAGAAACTGTAAGTGCAGTGATCCTGAGGTAGAAAAGAGTTTTGGCATATTCTCATAAGATCACAATACCTGTGTAGCTAATGTTGAACTCCTTAAGATGAAGTTAAAATGCAAAGGAGAGACCAGACTTTGCAGAGTCTTGTAAAGCAATGGAAGCAAATGAGGACTGTTAAGCAAAAGATTGTCACAATGTGTCTTTATAGCAGCATGATTTAGAGTTCTTTGGGTATATATCCGGTAATGGGATGGCTGGGTCAAATGGTATTTCTAGTTCTAGATCCCTGAGGAATCGCCACACTGACTTCCACAATGGTTGAACTAGTTTACAGTCCCACCAACAGTGTAAAAGTGTTCCTATTTCTCCACATCCTCTCCAGCACCTGTTGTTTCCTGACTTTTTAATGATTGCCATTCTAACTGGTGTGAGATGGTATGTGATTGTGGTTTTGATTTGCATTTCTCTGATGGCCAGTGATGATGAGCATTTTTTCATGTGTTTTTTGGCTGCATAAATGTCTTCTTTTGAGAAGTGTCTGTTCATGACACATGCACACGTATGTTTATTGCGGCATTATTCACAATAGCAAAGACTTGGAACCAACCCAAATGTCCAACAATGATAGACTGGATTAAGAAAATGTGGCACATATACACCATGGAATACTATGAGGCCATAAAAAATGATGAATTCATGTCCTTTGTAGGGACATGGATGAAATTGGAAAGCATCATTCTCCGTAAACTATCGCAAGAACAAAAAACCAAACACCGCATATTCTCACTCATAGGTAGGAATTGAACAATGAGATCACATGGACACAGGAAGGGGAATATCACACTCTGGGGACTGTGGTGGGGTGGGGGGAGGGGGGAGGGACAGCATTGGGAGATATACCTAATGCTAGATGACGAGTTAATGGGTGCAGCGCACCAGCATGGCACATGTATACATATGTAACTAACCTGCACAATGTGCACATGTACCCTAAAACTTAAAGTATAATATTAAAAAAAAAGATTGTCACAATGATTTTTCCATCGATTCAACTATCCATCCGTCCATTCATCCATAACTTTGGTTGTTCAGAAAGCAAAGGATTAGAAGCCAGAGGTTTTAGGAGAGGAGATAGAACAGAAAGTTGGATAACAGTCAGAAAGCTGCTGAAGTAATCCAGACAAGAGATAACAGTTGCTTTGACTGTGCAGGTGAAAGTGGAGATAGAAAACAGTGGGCAGAACAAGACGTATTTCAGAGATAGAACAGATGGCACATGCTGGTGGATTGAATGTGGAAAACGAGGGACAGAAAGGAAGGAAGGGTGACTCCTGAGTCTCTCGCTTGACCAATTAGAAATCCAGCATTTTCTATCATGGGAAAGGCAGGAGGAATAAAAGATGTTTGGAACTTAAAAGATGGTATTCAAAATCATGGGAATGAATTATGGTATCCAGAAGAGAATAAGAGAAAGAAGAGAGCCCAGGAACTCAACATTTAGAAGGCAGGGATATGAGAGAGCCAACAAAGGGGACTTCAGCATAAGCTGCAGCAAGAAAGAGGGGGAAAAATAAGAAGACTGAGAGCTGATGAGTGTTTTCATGAGAAAATTATTAACTTTCAAAAGCTTCTGAGTGTCCAATAAGATGGACAGAAAATTGACCTTGGAATTTGACCAGATGGAGCTCATCAGAGACTGTCAGCAAGAGGAATTTTAATGGAGTATTGAGAATAGAATACAAGTTGAGATGAGTTCTAAGTGGGAAATTAAGAAGAGGAAACAGCATAGAAATTAGGAAGAGGAAAGAGCATAGAAGGTTTCCATTACCTACTTTGAGAAAAAGGATTATTTACGTTAGGTTATTTGCAAAATTGGAATATATGTACAGAGGGATTTGTATCTTCATTAAATATTTCAATATCACCTATCCCTGGCTTATATTAAATTTACATGTAGCATTTTTAAAAGTTATCAGATTATCAGAAAAATTGTTATGGCTTGACCACTTTTCTCAGTTGGTTCTTAATTTAAAACATACATAACAATTTCCAATCACTTTCTTCTCTGGAATTAATATTTTAGAGAGCTCAGAAAGACATTTGAATAAACATGCAAGTCAGTTAGGGTTTCAATAAACTTCAATACTTTGAAAGACTTTCCAATACACTGTATGTATACCAACGGTGGAAACAGACCAAAACTGAACAGAATTGAATGTTCTTATTCTTTCTTTACACCATCAATTTCCCAATGCCCCATGCCCCTTTAAGATAAACTAAGGCTGGGGTGGAGCCTCACGCCTGTAATCTCAGCACTTTGAGAGGCTGAAGCAGGTGGATCGCTTGAGCCCAGGAGTTCAAGATCATTCTAGGCAACATGACAAAATCTTATCTCTACAAAAAATGCAAAACTTAACCAGGTGTTGTGGCACATGTCTATAGCCCCAGCTACTAGGAGGGCTGAGGTGGAAGGATCACTTGAGCCCTGAATGTTGAGGCTGCAGTGAGCTGTGATCATGCCACTGAACCCCGGCCTGGGTGACAGAGCAAGACCATTTCAAAAAAAAAAAAAAAAAAAGAGAGAGCGAGTCATGTCTGGAGGTGGAGAAGTCTCCTACTGTTTGTTATTGTATCATTGCTTATAAATGATTGCACATTAGAATGATTTCTAAGTTATTTTACTCAACACAGATATTTTCTCAAATATGTAAATATCAAATTGCTAGGTTTTTTTTCTCCTTCAAAATGCAATTGACAAGTAAAAGTTAACCTGCTTGACCTTGCTTTATGCTTAGAAAGTCAGACTTGGACTGACTGGCTCATCTATTGTTATTTTTGCTGAGTCTGGTAACAATTAGCAAAACATCACAGGCATTTTTACTGTAACATATCACTCCTGTATTACTGAGAAGACAGCAAGAGATAGTAAATGAAATGCTGCGCTTGTAGTCAGAAGTCCTGAGTTTGAATCCCAACTCATTTGCTTACCACACAGGTGAAGTGGGCAAGTAATTTTAACTCCACTGACCCTCAATTTTTCTTATTCATAAAATAAGGAAAATAAATAATATTTTATCCGACCATCCCACTGGTGGGTAGCATGTGCAAATGTGAAAGTGCTATATAAACAATAAAAGGTTGAAACACTTGGTCAGTATTGTGGAAACCTGAATAACTTTACACACATTTTTAACTCACTTGGACTGTAAAAATCTGTCATTTTTTCCCACTCTCTAATTTTTAAGGCTTTACTGCTTTATTTTGCATCCACTCCAAATCCCACCACCATCTTTAGGTTCTTTTGATTAAAATCTGTTTGTTTGATTTGTTCATTCCTTAGTCTAATCCTTCAAGACTGCCAGTTCTGCTATGCCTTATGTTAGAATTTAATTTTAATAAAATTAAATAGGAATGAGATCTACTTGTATGAGTGTATCCATTTTCCTTCCATATTTCACATTGACATACCTGCTCTCAGAAACAGAATCTATCTCTGGTGATCTAGGTTCCTGTCTTTTGCTCTTGCTTCTAAATCTTTTTCACAAAATGTCACTATTTAATTTTCAAATAAAATGCAAAGCTCATGACTAATGTTTTATAATTATTGCTTAAAACTGTTTCCAGCCTTGAATTTTGCTGTATTAAGAAAGAATCTTGCTTAATGTATACTGACAAAAATGTCCTGCTTAGTCACAGTGCCAAGAAAGGTATCCAAGAGCAGAATGGAAGCCCTGACATTTAGTCTAGCATATTGCAGCAAAGTGTGGTGCAGTACACTGGAGCCTGGTTTTTACACAGCACAGTTAGATAACAATAGTGGCGGGGAGATGGCAAAAGAGGGCTGGGCTCAATGCCTGGATGTCACCACGGCGAGGCTGAGGTGCTGTTGGAGACAAGAAGAAAGTGAGATCAACCTGCTGAGTTTTTATTTAATAAAGCAGTCTCCTTTCAGCCCTCTCCTTGATTGTACTTGAAGACTGCATTTTCAGTCTTAAGCAGCTTCACTAAAATAAAATTATTTCAGGAATTTTTCACTTAAAACATGAAACCTTTCTTTCGGCATGTCCCCTTCTGTCTACTGAAACGTGGTTTGGGGATTAGGTATACAGTGAGGTTCTGATTCTGTAATGACAATTTTAACTGTAGCTGCAGAAATTTAATCATAGTTTTCAAGAAACTACATTAGTGCTTCTTTTCTGTCTCTCCTAATGTTCAAGAGTTAAAATGCAGACTAGAGTCTGCTACCTATCTTGGGTATGATTTCCTATTAAATTATTGAAGTTTGTAGGTGTTGGGATGGGAGCACGGGAAAAATAAAACAAAATTTTGCCCAAAGGTTTGTATATTTTTCCAACTGCCTGAATATTACATGCTTTAATTGTTTGTTAATTCTCCCTGTTTCATTCCCTCTCTCATCAAAAAATTCTAAATTTAAAAAATCTGTACTAAAAGTTTGCTAAGAATACTTTATACTAATATCATGAAAATCATATCACATGAAATATATTAATTTCATTGTAATCCTGTTTTCTGGTTGTATCAGTCCTCATTATTTTATTAATGCATTTTATCTGTAACTAGATTTCAGAAACTGTTTAACAAAGGTGGAGCCACAGAGAAACACTGTGAGACATTTACACATACATCTACATTTTACTGGGGTGCGGAATAGTTTGTTTTGCTGAACTAGAACAAATACGTTAGTTCCTTAGGACTAGCAATGAGAAGGACTTTTCTGTCATGGAGGACTATCAAATTACAAGAAATATGTGGGTGAGACTTATGAAGAACTTTGGGACTTAGAGGACTGGTTAGAATTTGGTAGGAAGGAAAACTAGAAGTTGGTTGAAGATGTCGAGGTAACTAGACAGTTTTTCCTATACAACTTTTAATCCTGTTTGTCTGTAGCTTTGCTGTAGTAAGCCTAAAGTCTCTTTCAAGATTGAAATGTCTGTTTGAGTTTTCATAGGAACATTTTCTCCTTACTAAAAATTAGGGTTAAGAGGTCAAAATGAGAAATATTCTGTATTTTTATATTCTCCAATTTTAAAAGAAGTTCAAAGTGAAAATAGAAAATTGTGAATGGAATATTTTGAAATCATAAAATTTTTCATGATTCATGAAATTTTACATTTTTCCTTATGTGAAGGAAATATGTATAAAACAAGCAGGATTATCTTTAATGAAAATGATGATTTTTCATTTTGTTTGAATGACTAAACATAACTTTATTGGTTTTTCTCCTTCTTTTTAAAAATATATCTTACAGAGAAGAAAATCACGATATTCAGACCTTGACTTTGAGGTAAGTTTATATGAATTATTTTAGAATTGTAATTACTTGAATTCAAAATAGATATATAGTTACTTAAAAATTATTACTCTATGCAGCCATGTAAGGGTATTATGTACTAATTTAATTAAATAAGTCAAACATTTTTAATTAAAGTTTATCCTGTATAGGATGAAATTTTTAAATTTTGAATTACTTCAAGTATTTGCTAAACTGAGATTTTCTGGACAAGTGAGGAATTTGTTTTATACATACTACGATAAGTGAACAATTTATGTTAGGAGTTGAACCTGGTTGATTCAGTTTGTAGGGAGGGGGAATGTCAGCTTCCTGATTTTTATATTTAAAGCAATTTTCTTGGTTTTACTTCAGTGACTGCCTGAAGAGATCCTGTGAGTATGCTTAGGCTGGTTAGCTAGGCTTTCTCTGAAAATTACTTGTTTCATGTTCTGATTCCTGCTATTTAGGTTCTCTGCGGTACATTTGATGCTTTTTTTTTCAGTAGAAACTATTGATTCAATGTGCTCCTGTGTTTAGTAAACGCCTTTTCACAGATACAAACAAGATGAAAATTTTCATTTTCCAATTTACATTGAATTTATATTGATGCTGTAATATGTTTACTCGAAATTACTGAAATCATACCATCTGAGGAGGTTATGCTAAATACAAAATTAATGACGTTTAAGCACCACATAAAATGTACTTATGTGTATTGATAATTGGATATGATTCATAGTCTGCTAACATAATTGGATATAATACATTATATATTTCTCCAGTATATTTGTACCTTTGTGATGCATACATAGAACTCAATACTCTTAATTGATACTCCTAAAATTACAGAAGCCTCCCAGAACGTGCTAACTACTCCTAATTCAGTCGTTTCATTTATGTAGATCAATGTTCTAGCTCTACAATGTACATCATGTGTCAAAACTAAGACTTGTTTTTATTTACTGCAATGGTCAACAATGGTTTTACCCTGAATGGAGTCCAAGGATAATTGGTTCTTTTCAGTAACATTTCAGACTACAAGATACAAAGTAATGATAAGGAATCTTTTATCTACGATTAAATAGCAAATTTTAATACTGATGCAGCCTCATTGTAGTAACTTAGCATTGAATATATATTTAATTGTATCCAAAGTTTTTAGCATAAAAGTATCAAGAATATAAATCTGAATAGACAATATTCAGCAATCTTTGCCTTCAGATTTTTTAGTGCCTTTGAAGAACAGATATTTTATAGCTTTTTAATATTAATTCTTCAGGTAGCCAAAAATAGAGGATCAGACTGTATATATTCATGTCTAAAAGCAATAAATTGTTATGTTAGTATAAAGGAAAGGAGGAAGGAATTAACCCACTAGGCATCAGCGGCAAAATATAGTAAAAACCTAGAACTAAAATTAAGCCTCAATTAAACCAACCTAAGTTATGTAATCACAAACACTGAAAAGAAATCTAATCATACTGTGTCACTTGGAGCATTAGAAAAACTGTTCTTTTTTCATCTATTCTCTATGGCAACTGGTAGCAGATTCCTTAAGCTGATACTTACTTCTACGCTTATTATTCCACCCATAAAACCATGTTGTTAGTAAAACTTTTGCTGATAAATAAGAGAAATTGCAACACAAGAACCCCGGACATGTCTTTAGCTCTTTAATTGCTGTAATCACTGCATGATTACTACAGGTGTCAAAATTTGGTGGGGCAGGTGGGAACTTTGAGACATTACTTTTACTCTACAAATTGTTTAGAGCTATTTCCCTTAGTCTCATGTGCTATAACAGGTATGTGGCAGATATTTCGTGGATTGAGTTTAGAAAACTTATTGCCAAGTATAAATGCGAATGAATTGTGATACAATCTATTTATATTTTGTGGGTGGTTCTTGAGGGAAAGTCCAAGTTGTCCCCCTCTTAATTCAGGCTAGCTTAATTAAATTTGTATCAAGCTCCCTGACACTCCTGCTCCGCCTGCAAGCTTTATCATATAATGGCCAGCTTAAATATTTTGCCACTGACAGACTGCTTCTTGGACTTCTTAAAACATCTTTGCTTCAGGCTTTAAGGCTAACACACTCCCCAGAGTCCACACACTATGATAATATTCTGCCAACTCATATATCCCTAAAACTCTTGTGGCTAGTTAATGTCATACCAGGGGAATAGCCCTTTCATGTAGCCAGTCTCCAGAACAGCATTGCATTTCTGGATTCTTGCTTTCTGGAAACTATACAGAAAATACTGTAGTGATATTCTTGTGTTCTGTAACCAAATGCCTTATTGAAATTGTATGCCCACCTCCAGAGATCCTAGTACCTAGTAAGCATTCAGTAATTTTTTTAAAAGAATGGTGAAAAATTGAATTATTTTTCCATCCAGTTTGTTTAACAAAATGTTATTGGACACTGTACCTGAGTTAAGGCAGAGACTAGTATAAAAAATGACAACTATGGAAGAGACGTTTCAAAGATAGCCACACTGAATTTCAAAGATATCCACATTAGATATAACTCAAGGAGATAGAAAAATGGCAGGTAGAAATTCCAGGAATAGGAAAAGGCATGTAGGTTGGCTAATCTGTGGCATTCTTAAGAAACAACAGGTAAGTCAAAATTTACCTAAACAGGTGTCTATGGAAGAAGAGACTAAAGTGAGTAATTTAGAAACCATGCCTTATAGTCCAGGAGGGATTTTTATTTAATTTGCTACTAAAAGCTGCTAAGCTTTTTCTATTGTATTTTGTTTGCTTGTTGTTGTTGCTGCTGTTGTTTCAGCACAGAATGATTTTTTATACTCTAGGTTTTAAAAAGATGAGTATGTCAGGTTTTAAAAAGATGAGGATAGATTGTAGCAGGGTGAAAGGTGAAGTAGAAATACCAATTAGGATTGGCTAGTATAGTAGGTAATGAAAGTCCACTTCCTGGAGGTGGTAGGAAGAGAAAGCAAAGAGAAGACTCTGCAGAGGCAGAATCTATGGAATTTGGTCCTTAACTGAACATAGGGTGAAAGGGTGAGGGAGCAGAAAAAAGAAGACTCTTCAGTTCTGAGCCTGAGTTTTTGCTAGTACCAGTAACAGAACCAGGGAAATCAAGAAGATATCTAGTCAGGGTGAGTTCCATTTTAATATTTTAGAATAAAGATTCCTAATGTGATGTTAAAACAGACAATTAGGTAAGTTGTTCTAATCGTCTGTCTTGTGTCGAGATTTGGGCTCTAAGAATTCCCAGAAACACAATTACAGGCATTCATTCTGAAACGCTAATAGATAACAGTATCCATGCCATGTTAAAAATATATGGATAAAGAAGTATCCATGAAACCCCATCTCTACTGAAAATACAAAAATTAGCTGGGCATGGCAGTGCATACCTGTAATCCCGGCTACTTGGGAGGCTGGGGCGGGAGAATTGATTGAATCCAGGAGGTGGAGATTGCAGTGAACCAAGATCGTGCCGCTGCCCTCCAGTCTGGACAACAAAGTGAGACTCCATCTCAAAACAAAGTAAAAACAAACAAAGAACAACAAAAAGAACTGTATCCATATACTTGTCATACGGATATGTCTTTTTTAATCTTCACTTCCAAAAATGCAGAGATAAAAATTTTCACAGTTTTCCATGAAAATTATGTAGCCTTTTTTTTTTTTTTTTTTTTTTTTTTTTGACAGAGGCTGGCTTTGTTACTCACACTGGAGTGCAGTGGTGCAATCTTGGCTCATTGCAACCTCTACCTCCTGGGTTCAAGGAATCCTCTCATGTCAGCCTCCTAGTAGCTGGGACCACAGGCATGTGCCACCATGCTTGGCTTACTTATATTTTGTTTTGTTTTTTGTATAGATGGGGTCTCACCATGTTGCCCAGGCCAGTCTCGAACTCTGGGGCTCATGTGATCCCCTTGACTCAGCCTCCCAAAATGCTGGGATTATAGGCATGAGCCACCGTTCCTGGCCTATGTAGCCTTTTAAAAACATTTTAGGATATTTCTCTGAGTTTTTAATGAGCTCCATACTTCCACTATTTTCATATTTCTCAAACTGGGAGACAATGATGGTGGACAGAGGACAAAAGAAGACACAGACACAGGGTAATCACAAATCCCCATTTTCATGGGGGCTTGAGTTTTTACAAGGAGATTTGGGGGATAATAGAAGTAAGAGATCATTTTATATTAACTCAATATCACTACAAACACAGCTAAATTGTGACATAGAAATCAAAGTATATTTCAATTTCTAAGTATAAGGCATAAGATTTCAAAGAAATGTCTTGTTCATAACAGACTTCTTCCTGCGCCATCCCTGAGCCCCAGCAGTAAGTGCACTCCATTAGGCAATCTGGGTACTTTTAGAGGAAAAGTTTGAGCAATTTAGTCCTAGACAATAGCCATCTTTTTTTATATTACTAAATTTAAACTGTTGCAAAATTATGCATTTACAGCAAGTATACTCATGATTGACAGTGGCAAAATAAAAAAATATGCAACTAATTTTTGCTGTTTTCAGACCCTGCATCTAGTTTCTTTTAAACTCTGGCATCATATTTATTCAAACAGAAACATATTTGAAACATAGACACTAAAAATGGGTCTACAAGTTCCATGTGAGGGATGCATTGGGACTCCAGCCAAGGAAATCATCCCCCTTTCACAACACACTTTAAGAACTAAGCTAAATCCCTGTAGTGTGCATTGCTTCCTTAATATGAGTTTTGACATTCACTTTAGGCTAATATTCAACAACCTACTCTGGAGAGAGGAATACAGGGCTCAGAAAATGGTAGCCCAGAGTATGGTGCTTTGGCATACTGAGTGCTTTGAACTAAGAACATTGAAAGGCCTCAGAAGCAACCTCAGAATCAGGATCTCTCTGATCTTCTCTTTCCCTCCTGTCAGTGGCCCCTTATTCTCCTCCAAAGTAAGTCATAGATACCAGAATTCCTCTTCACCAAATTGGATCATAGTAAGTAGAACTTCTTTTCCCCAAAGCAAGCCAAAAAACTTAAAAATATTACTCTAACCTTCCCTTCCCTTTTCATCTAGAAGCCAGCCATAAAGGACTCATGCAAACCAGTAAAGAAGAAGAACCACAGGTTCATCTTAGCCGATATGGGCAACGGCATTGTAGGTGTATAAAGTTCTAAGGCTGGAAAACGTCATTCACAGAAACTGGTTTCTAATTCCCATCAGCCCATGATTTCCAGACCTCATACTATAATGTTTATGGTTAGGAGATTCTCCAACTTTCTCTAACAATTTATTTCAGCTTCTAAAAGTCTGTATACAGTGAATACCTCTCTGATATATAATTCAGACTTAAGCATCAACTCTGTGATTCACACTTATGAATTAAAGTGAAAATCTGTAAACAGTTTTTTCTAAGCCCACCTACAGGTCATTTACAGGTCATTTACAAGTCATTTGTATTAAAAAGAAAGGAACACAATAAAATCAGAATGAGGAGGCAAAGCTCCTGGTTGGGACAAGTAAATGAGCCATTCTTCCAGCGGGAAGACCTCTTTTATAGAAGAAGAGGACATTTATAATGGCCTTCCATGTGGCAGTCGCCTTCCCTGGCCTATATGTCTATGCTGTCTTGTTCATTTAAGGTATTCAGTATACATTTATTGAGCACCTGCTGAATGCCAGATGCTGTGTGCTAGGTGCCAGTGATATACAGACGAATAAGCAATTGTCCAGGAACTGTTCAGAGACAAAATATGAAGACCAGCCATTAAAAATATAATTGCAGTACTATGAAATAGCTGCAGGGTGATCAATATCCATGGAGCTTATGGGCTCACTACAGAGGGCACCTAGCCCATCCTGGATTGTTTTGTCTCATTTTCCATTTTAAAAAGACATAATTACAAACCTGAATAGTCTAAAGAAGAGTGCTCCCTGAATCTATGAGACACATCTAAGATAGCAACAAGCAAAGAGAATTGATGTGGAATTCAGAAAGAATTCCAGCTTGCTCACTACTTGTGTGAGCTTGGGAAACTTACTTAGCCTCCTTGAGCTTCAGTTTTCTAATCAGTAAAGTGGAGATAATGGCTTTACCTCCCAGGGTTATTGTGAGGATTAAGAAAGATAATAATGGCTGCCATTTCTTAAGTGGCTCTTATCTGTGTGGCCCAATGATAAGTGTTTTATATCCTTTTTTAAATCTTCAAAATTACCCTGCAACGTAAGTCTGATTACTGAAACTGGGGCTAAAAGGAGATTAGATTTTACACTTCAGACCACACAACTTAAAAGTGATACAACTGAGGTCTAAATATACATTTCTCTAGATCCAACTTGGAGAAATATGCTATCAGACTTGGCATATTCCAAGTATTTTAAATGGTCTAGGAGAGTTCTTGGGATATAGCAGGTACTCCAGACATACAGGTGGCTTTCCATCCTCATTTTTCTCAAATATCTGAAATATGATGAATGTGCTTCATTTTATAGAATCACTTTTTCTCTAATATCAATAATTAAAGGATTGCAATGACTAATTCTCTTGCATTTAAAATGTATAAAAAGAAAGGGGTCTTTTGAAATAAGCTACTCAGGAAAGCATATTTCTTGTGCAGTTAGATTGGTGGTCCTCTCAGGATGGGGATTCATATACAGCTTCAAGAAATGTTGCGTGATAGTAATATGAATGCAAGGAAACATTATCATGCTCTTATCTTTATTGCAAAAGATGCATATAATATTTGACAGCCACCTGAATTCTATAGATGTGTAGATATTGTCAATCAGAATATATCTTTATTTAAATAGAAAATCCACAGATTAGAATTTTCTCATTATTACACATTTTGAAAACTCAATTCTAAGTTCAGTTTTTGACAGCAGTTAATTTCTTTAAAAAACGGGTGCTTAAATTAGAAAAGAAAGAAAAAGGCAATCAGATAAACCCTAATGTCACTAAACATAAAAAACAGCTAAATGAAATAGACCAATAGATTTATAAGCATGAAAACTTCTAAGCAAGTGGCAACTCATTAGAAGCATCAGTGCTACAAATAAATACTCACACAAGTAAATAAATAAGAGGAAACCTTTAGTACATGTGAAAACTAAAACGACACCTAAGTTGTTGCCCCAGAATATTGTTGGGTTATAAACTTTCCAATGTTCACTGTGAAGCTGGCATTCTTATCAGTGGACTCTTCTTTATTTTAAAGGCTGGACGATCTACTTGAGTCTATGAACAAGAAGAAATCATGCTTGGACAATCAAACTGAGTTCATGTCAGAGACATGAGCTGTCAGTGGCAGCTGTTATGTGATACTTCTGCCAGAACTCCAGGCCATCATTGCTATGGTTATTTCTGGCAGTGCCAAGGTGGCAGTTTCAAATTAGAATGAATATTTGGCATGAGGAAGTATTTGCAATTAATGTTTCTAGGTAACAAGGGCCCCATATTTCAGCATACAAATTTTTCATTTGTTTCCATATTCATTTCAGCGTCCTTCAGCTTTATTATTCAGAATAGCTTTAATAAACCCAGGTAGAAAATACCAAAATGTTTTTTAGTTACGTAATATTGGTGACCAGCATAACTTTATATTTTTCCTGTATACTTTTTAGACTTTCATAGCAATCCAATTCTTTGAAATATGATCCACCCAGTTCTGAATTAGGTACTACCCATTCAATCAGAATATAATTATAAAACCTCCAATCAGCTAATGTATATTCTTTTCCATGGAATGTATTTGATGCTTGGTTTGCTTCTTAAAAATGCTTTATCTGGTGTAAGTATTTGGCTGCAACAAACATTAGGTGACTTTGACTAATGAAATAACTGTTGGAAGGGGATGGAATAATTCACCTCTTGGCCAGAGAATAGTAGGAATATCAATGGACATTTCCAGCAACATGGGAAGGATGGGAAGGTATAGTTCCCCAAGGCAAAGTCAGAATCCTCACAAGATGAAGGATAATTGGAGACTTCACAAACAAAAATTATCAGATGCTCATCTCAAAATAAGGGTGCCGTGCCTTTGGCATCAACTCTCTTAGAAGAGAATGAGTTTCTTGTACTTGAAAAGGAAAGATCCCATTGAAGGGAGGGGATTCCAGCATAGAATTAAAAATTGAGCTAGAAATTGTCTGAATCCTAGAAAATGGAAAAGAGAGGATAGACAAATAAGACCATGGGAATAACTAATTTGAGGAATTTCAAATTAAATATGAATATATGAAAATGAGGGGATTGCCTCACTTGGATTTATCTTAGCAAATTATCCTATCACTTTCATAGCAGTACCATATGTTTTCTTTATCACGCTTACAGTTTTACATTTATTTGAATTATTATGGCTGTGTCCTCCATTAGACTTCAAGCTACCAGAGATCAGAAACTCAATCAGATTTTGTGCAACATCATTACCTGAGCATCTAGCACAATATGTGATGCTTGTAAGCATGTATTAAATGATGGAATAAAATATCTCAGAAAAATGTCAGTACATCACCCCACTGTGCCATAGAAGAAAATAACTCTATATTATAAGATTCATTGCTATGAAAAATGAAATTTGTAAGTTAGAAGCACACCCAGTCTTCTAACTACAATAGTTTTTTTTTAAGTGTTCCTTATGACACAAATCCATATTTTCATCAGTATCTTAGAACCTGGTACTGCATGAAAGTGTTTGTCTCCCAAAGGAAAGAATGTGCTACTTTATGTTTGCCAGTGACAGGGTCCTCAAAATCTCCCCATTGAGTTGCTTATGCAAATCCTCTCTCTCATAAATCTCCACAAGCCATCACTAGTCAAATTATGTTTGCCTGGTGTTTCTCTGTTAATCCTGCAAATCCGTTTTGTATATTCCCCCCCAAACTGATGGGAAGTTAATCGCTCTATAATTGCTTGCTATGTTTCATGTCCCTATCATGAGTAATGTTGCCATGTTCTTGTCCTCAAACACCTGATTCTCACACAGCCAACTCCTAGAGCCAAAAGGAGCAAAGACAGAAACTGATTGTTGCAAGACATAAAATGGCAGAAATCTCTCACATAAAAGTAGGCTAGTGAAAAGGAAAGAAATGAGCTAAACAATGTATTGCCTAGATACATATTTATTAAATATAGGAAATTAAAGCTTGCATAGGAGAGAACAGACTTTTTTAATGTGTTAAAGATTCAGTTGTTTTTGTCTTTTGTCCTTTTCCTTTTCCTCAAGGAGATAAAGTGCTTCTCTGCAGTGTCTTTTAGAAGGAATTAGGCATTACAGCTCTCCCAAAGATATATTTCTTTTTCAAAACAAATCCTTACTTTTGAAAATATTTGCTAGTTGAAACAATGGACCAAATATTCAAATTCTAGCTTAAACATAGATATAATATACCTATGCAAACCACAGGCACAAATGGTAAGTTATGAGGCATATGCTTAAAATACAGTAAAATCTTACACAAATATGAAGGCATAGTCTTGGAGAATCACCAAAATATTGATTTTTAACTTTTAAAAATCAAAACTGAGGAAGACATTTTCTCCTTTAAAATAACAATTACAAATACAGGGCACTTATTATCTAACTCTTCTTCGTTAGTGCTCTTAAATGATCTGTAATTGAACAAGATTCAGCCCATGATACTTACCCCAAGGCCATTTTTATTTGACTCCATTTGTTGAGTTATGGTGAAGTTGAGAGAAAAGGGTGTAACCAGGGATGAGGAGTATGAATATATTTGTATCTGTGATTTTAGAAGCAGATCAGCTACACAATTTATGCTCTGAACCCTAATTGTTAAGAATCTATACCATCTCCTAAACAAATGGATGAAATCTATGGGTCAGATTTTCCCCCTAAGAAGCTCAATCATTATGCACATGGAAAATGCAAGGTTTTACATCCCACATATATTTCAGACACTTTAATGCTTTGATTCAGCCTTAATGGCAGGGCTTGGGATTTTGTTCCCACTTTAGTACAGCCAGCTAGGATTTTAGTGTTTATAGAAATAAAGCATAAAAAAGTAATATTTCCCATGACAAACATCAGGGACTGGGTGCTTTACAAGTTTAAGTTTTTAAACATTTTAAAAATATGATAACAGTTTTTGTAAAACAGTTTTAACTTTTGAATAATGAAAATCTTACTCAGAAATGACTGGTACATTTTTAATGTACCCACAACAAAACCTTTTTTTTGTAGTCTTGTAAGTGAAAGAAAAAGCCAATTCTTAATGTGTAAGAAGTGCTGAATATGAGACAATGATTTGCTGCAACTTATTTGCATTTGTGCATCTTATAGGACCTCCTGGTTCCTGCCAAACTTGATTACCCTTATTATTAAAGCAAAAATATTAAATCTCTCTTGTTTGAAAAACATACATCAAGTTGGGGATGAGAGCTATCTTGTTCTTTTTTGCAGAAGGTCATGCATACAAGGAAGAGGCATATGGAACTATTTCAAGAACTAAATCAGAAATTTCAAACTTTGGACAGATTTCGGGATATACCAAATACAAGCAGTATGGTAAGTATGCTTTGCTTCAATGCCTGAGTAGAAGATGCATCATGTCAGATATTATTCCTGCCTTCCAGGACCTCCTAATGGTGGGAACATAAGATGAGTCTACATAGAAAAAAAAAGTATAAGCCCCCAAAACATACTTTGGAAAGTCTACCAAGACAAATTAGGAATGACAGAATCTTTAGGCATTTTATTCATATTTCAAATATCCTCATTTATAAGCTTTCATTAGAGTTAGTTTTATATCAAAACTATATTGGCTTCATCTGATCATTTTACTGTCAGAGTTAAAATTAAAATTAAGTTTCTTTTCAAATATCCCTTTGGGTTAATATTTCCATTTTCATTTGAATGTCTGACATAAATGTAATTGTTTTATGTATATGAAGTTGTAACCTGAAACCAGAGTGATAGATTTTTGTCTCCAGGAGATTTACTTATTTTGTGGTAAGAATTTTCGTACACACATCAACACTGGGGACTCTGGTTATTAACTGTGACCATTCTCTTCTCATTCATTTACATTATTATAATCTTAGTACAGGACTTCATCAAATAAAATAACTTTGTACAATTACTATGTTTATGGCATAATCATAGCTTCACAGAAGTTTATGTAATTATAAGAGCACTAGACCAGGACTCTAGAAATCAGTATACTAGTCGAAAGCTCAAAAGCTCAATCAAGAACTATCTGATCTTAAGCAAGTCACCCAACTCAGGTTTCTAAACTCCAATTTCACCCTCCTAAATGGAGCATAGAAAATAGTAATTAATGTATATCTTCCGTCATTACAACACTTTCAAAAGCAAGTAGGTTAAGAAGCACCTTATAGGCTAGGAAGCTGAGGCTCAGCTATAAGACATAGAGCTGGGACTGCCATCTGACACCAGCTCTTCTCCTTTGCCCAAATATGGGGCTCTTTCTTTGCCTCATACTCTTTGCGGCCCTTGGATGGTCCTTCTTCTTTTCCAGACATCAATATTTATATTGTTCTAAAGTAGATGACGTTTGGTCACCTTCTTAATCTAGTGATTCTTCCATATATATTTTATGAGCCTTAGCCCTAGCTTCCTGATTAGTAATGTTAGCTTCGGAAGAGCTGAAGAGTATCTTTTATGTATCTTTATGTTTTTCTTTTATTCCTCTCAGTACTAGTACAATTCCAGTTGTGATAAGTTATCATGGCTTCTATTGATTTATAGCATGGCTATGATCATTCAATCTGTGTTTGTTAAATGAAGGCTATGAGAAATATACGCTCTAACTCTTAATTGGTCTCTTAATAGTTTCATGTTCATCAATTTTTCTCCTTAAAGTAGGAATCATGTATTATTTGTTATCACCAATCAAATGCTAGGCATATAGAAAACACTTCATTCATAATGAGTGGATCTTCCTCTTCTACTCCTCCTGATAGAAGGCTATCAATTTTTAGCTAGCATGCAAGTGAGAATTACACCATTGAGATTAGACCTAAACACATTACCTACTCATTTCGAAATATTGAAAGATAACATTGAAATAATTGAAGAAACTTCATTACTTAAAAAAGGAGAGGGTTATATTTACAAATCTAAAAGTCTTATGCAACAGATACAGCTGGCTAACTGCTATAATATGATTGTAATTTCCCCTTGTTGTATGGTCTGGGTATTAAATCATTAATGGCACAACTATCTGTATCTCAGTTTCCTGACAACAAAAATAGTCTACTAATTACACCACATCTCTGCAGCAGCGTGCCTTTTCTAGAAGAGATTTATAAATATTTACCATTTGGAAGGTTAGGAGTGGGGAGGATAGAGTTGTCATTGCTGCTTGACTGTCATCCTAAATATCTGAGAAGAGAGAGAAAAAAATGCGACTTCCTTATTCAGTTTTTATTAATAATGAGCATGAGTGAGTTCATTATCTTTAATTTAGTCACATAATTTGTAGTGGCACATTATTAATGAAAAATTGCATAATTGGGTGGAGACAGACTTTTTTAAAACCTCAAATAAAGGGGTTTTTCTTTTCTTTTCTTTTTTTTTTTTTCCGGGCTGCTGACTCACAGCACCTGCCTGGCACTGCAAATGATGGTAATTATGTAGAATAATAGAATTTGGGGAATCAAAGGGAAACCAAAAAACCATTTAGTCCATTTCCTTGCTTCCAGGCAGGAAAACATTTAAATCACACTAAAAAAGAGAAGGCACTGATATCCAGAGAAGAAACTATTTTACTCTGTGTGTGTTTCACAAACCATTCAGTTAAGATCTCTTTCCCCCAAGTAGCTTTTGCAAATTCTTACTTTTTAAAAATAAGCATACTCTTTTTTGCTTCGTACCTAAATATTGGTAGGTTGAAAGAAGGAGGGAAAGAAAGAAGAGAGAGAGGAATCAAAGGAGAGAGGAAGGAAGAAAAAAAGGAAAGGAGAAAAGAGAAAAGGATAGATGGATGGAGGGAGGGAGGGACTTATCCACAAGTGGACAGCCAGTGTGCTCTGGATCCACGAACTATGGGAAATGCTCAGGCAGCCCTGCCATATTTTTGGGTGGCTCTGAACTCTGTTTACCTAACATTCTATTTCTACTGATGCAGCTTAAGACCAAATTAGCATTTTGGGAAGCTTCGTGCACTTTGGCTTATATGGAATTTATGATGTTTTAGCCTTTAACAAATATGCATCTGTTTAACTACAGCTCCTTATTCTGTACTCAAGTGCAAAACATAAATTAACAAACACAAAACAGCAGCATAAATTCGGAGACTTACACTAACTTCGAAGTTTTTATCATAAGATTCACACCTCCATTGAAACCTTTCCTGGCACCTACAGCTCTCATCACCAACTTCAGTGATCCCTTTGGACAGCTCCACGGTTCATCATTTACTTGGACAATTGACAATATTACACTTTTCAGTATGAGAGTCTATAGGCTCCTCTCTTATCACGCCCAACACGCAGGACGATGAGTCGCTCCTGGGTACCACACACTGACAACAAAGTCTCTCCCTACTCCCTGCAGATCTTGTTCCCACTCTGACTTCTGAGTGCAGTAGTTTTTTACCACTAAAGAAGCCTCTGACCTAAAGGGCATCCACACATTTGTGAACAATAATGAGAACACCAGTTGAGCTGGGAGTGGCTTGGGATGCTAAAGATTAGTAGAAAGCCAAAATTAATGAATTATGAATTAATGTATTACCCACTAATAGAACCTCTCAGGAATTCAATAGGTCATGTAGTGACAATAATAGCATTTGAAATTAGAATATAGATTTTCTGACAAAGTTTAAAATTGGCCATTTTAGTTCACATATCCATAACAGTTGATCTTTGAAATCATATCTGTTCCAAACATAATGGAGCCCCTATATATTCCAAGCAAATGAACAAATACTTGGAATTACATACTCTGAATTCTTTCAGGATTGAACTAATTGGACTTTCTTTCAAACTAAGGATTCCCAGAAATCTCCTTTAGACACAACCCTCGTGTATGATAAATGAGTCCACTGTGGATCTGATTCAGTAGAATTCGAACCAGTGAGCCTTTCAGTTGATGTTTGATGATTCAGGTCTCACCATAGTGCCCCTAAACGTTCAACATCTCCCTATTGCCTACAAAATAAATTCCAAATTTAGTAGCCAGGCATTCAGAATCCCTTATGATCTGGCTTCCACTTCACCATCTGCCTGCTTTTCTGCTATTCTCTTTTATGCCAACTAAAATAGATAGGTCCTGTTCTCATGGCTTTCCCGTCTCCGTGTTCTTTGGATTTTTACTTCCCAGTGTGTCATTCAGCCACCAGACCTCCAACCACACATATGTGTTCGTGGCCAAGCCCATCCCTCTATTCTGGCCCTAATGTTACTTTTCTCAGAAAGTTTTATGTGTTTCCTGTATAAAGAAGCCATCTCTCTATCCTTCTCTGAATTCCCATAGTACTTTTCCTGGATGATAGATATAAATATTAACATGTTTTAACCTCCATTTAACTATACATTCTTCTGTAATAAGTATAGCTACTATATATTGAGTGTTTATTAAATTCTCCAGGCATCATTCCAGGTTACCCCACTTTTTTATTTTTGCAACCCCATAAGGTAGGCATTGATCCACACGTTCTGCCAACTCCTTGGCCCACAATATAAAGCATATCGCTGTTTTGCAGATATTCAGGTTGAGGTTCAGAAAAATGAAATCAATTGTTTAAAATCACATTCATCTGAAGTGGAGGAACTGGAATTTGGACCTGCATGTATCAGGCTTTAAATCTTGAGCTTCCTAGTGGACCATGCTGATTATGACTTCATCCTCCCTGGTAGCTAATATGGTGTCTGGCACAGAGCAGCTGATAAATAAATATTGATTGAAGAGAAGCAGAGAGGGAGAGAGGAAAGAAAGGAAGGATAAGGCAGAGGTAGAGCTACAAGACTGTAATTCATGAGACTTTAGAATATTTGACTAAAGCATAATTAATTAATTCCCTCCACACATCCTAAAAATTAACCTTTCATTAAATGTTTACTATTAACCTTTCTTCCCCATATATTCTCAGAAGTAAGGTTAATCAGTGCTGAAAACATCTAATGCATTAAACATTTTATTAATTTAATTTCCAGTTATGGTAAGTGTTTTTGTTGTTGTTTTGGTTTTTGGTTTTGGGTTTTTTTATGTTGCCCAGGCTGGTCTCACACTCCTGGGCTTAAGCAATCCTCCTACCTCAGCCTCCCACGTAGCTAGAATTACAGGCACACATCACTGCACATGGTTTAGGTATGATAAGTATTTATACAGATTGCCTCTCTTTCTTTAGCCATAGTTTCAGATGATGTTTAATATATTGAGTGGAGTTTGGATAGTAATTCAAGTACCTATTTTCTGTTCACTTGGTAATTGATTATAATCAGTTAAACGCCAGATTTGGGGAGCAGGGAAGGCTTACACTCGACAACTATAATATTCTCACTAAACATGACATTCTATAATGAAAAATAAAAAGGAAATTGGAATATTGGGCTTCTAAGATCATTTTAATAATTCTGAAAAAATAGAAATTGAGAGCTAATAGAAATTAAAGGCAGTGATTTTCAAGAGGGAAATATCTTTCAAACTTTATAGAATTTATTGGTATACAATTACAAGTTTAAAAAAGTATTTAGATAAACAGTTAAATTTTATCTCATAATTATTAATTTTAGTCAATCTGTATTCTACAACAAAAAACTCATAAAACAAGAGAATATAGCAGCATTTAAATATTCTAAAATGTTAATTTCTTGAGAAAAACTAGGCATAGTGATCTAAATTATTTAATGGAATTCTGTTACCTTGAGTAACTTTTTATTATCAAATAATATGCCCCATAAGACATTCTCAAATCTGCTAATCTCACCAAATTTCTGTCACAATACTTACATTTTCTACATTTAATCTTAGTGGTGACTTAACTCTCCTTCCTACTTCAACATATGGTCATACTGACAATTCACAACATGCCCCAAACAAAACATCGCCTACTTTGCCTTCTATACTACTGTTCACTTCCTTTGATTCCTAGAAAATTGTTGGGTAACTAAGAGAAGGTATTCATCAGTTTGTTCAATGAAATAAAACTAAAATCAAAACTATTTCCCACAGTTGGCCGTATTTTCAAGTCATCTCTGCATCACAGAAACTGGATTAAGATTACAAACACGCTCTCTTCCTGGAAACTTCAACTAGCGGTGATCCTGGTCATCACATAAATGACTCTCTTTCCCTCTCTTCTCAACAGGAAAACCCCGCACCAAACAAGAATCCATGGGACACTTTCAAAAACCCCAGTGAATACCCGCATTACACCACAATCAATGTCTTAGACACAGAGGCAAAGGATGCTTTGGAACTGAGGCCAGCAGAGTGGGAGAAGTGTCTGAATTTGCCTCTGGATGTGCAAGAGGGTGACTTTCAAACAGAAGTTTAAAAAAATCAAAATGGACTAAGGTAGAGACAAAACTTTATTGCACTGACACTTAAGACTTGGGAAGCCTGACATTTCTATCTGGACAGTGTGACTATCTTATGTCAGGACCTTCATGTGCCAAACGTCAGTGGTGTTTTCATATGGTAACTTCTCACTAGTCAGGCTAGTGGAGAGATGACCAGGTGTACAGTTCTGACCATCCTGTGTTGTAAGTACCCGTGGAATGGATTTGTAAGGTAATCTTTATAGATAAACCTCAAGCAACGATTCATGTTGTAACCGCTTCATATGGTTTAGTTTTCAAAAAACTTCACCATGAAGCACAATGTATATATTTATGCAGTTTTTAAAGTTTATAACAGTCTGTTTGGCCATTACTACACTTTTTACTTTATAATATAAAAGCAAAGTTTTTGTCATTAAATGAATGTTTGTTGAGCTACATTCTTCATTGCTTTAAATGCAATAAAGTAATAATCTCACTTTTATATGAATAATATATTTCACATCTTTATTATTGCAGTTTTCTCTAGAAAGCTCTGAGAAGCTTTCTCTGCTGCAGCTGTGTATAAAATATTTAAAATGTTGTATGGTGTAAATAAACTTTTGTCTACATATCAGTTTTTTAGTGCATTTTATTTTGGATTTGTTGACCAGAAATTTACATATTTATAAAGTTTTTTTTCAATACAGATACTAAAAATGTATTCACGGTTTTAATAGCATACTATTATTACTCCTTTGAGGCTAATGATTTCTCAAATGTAATAATAGGTTTATATAGTGCTTCTGTATTTTCTACTCAAACATTCTTTGGAACGATGTACCATGTAAATGGGGCTTGTCAGAAATCTGCTGCCATCATACTCTTACATAAATATTATGTTTTTTTCTATCTTGTGGCAAACAGATAACTAGTAGAAAACAGTAAGTTTCCATACAGAAAATAATACAGGGAAAAATGTTAATTTTAAGTAATGAAGTCCACTGCATGTTTCACAAAGGAAACTACTCATACTACAGTTATTCATCGCATACAAAAAAAAGAACTTCTTCAGGACTTTAAAAATTTTTATCTATATAGTCTCTAGCAAAAGGAAAAGGGGAGTGGATGTATTTGATTAAATGATTTGTCTCTGGTTTGAAAGTGGAAGCCTGAGTTGAGCCAAATGCACAAACAGTCCCTAGTGTCTTCTCTTGTGTTAACGCCACACTGGAAATTTCCCTCGCTCCCTCAGATACACATTAAAGGAAATACCAGGGGGAAGGATTTTAGCAGTTTCTTGGTCATTTCAATGATTTGAGATGTGGTTTTTTAGTCTGAGGCAAGTGAGGGGGGTGGAGAGGAGACTGGGTTCTTCAAAGTTCCTAAAATGTGTATTTAGATGAGTCTGTGGTTAAACCTGAGCTGTGTGGTCTTCTGTGGTCTGCCCCAAACTCAAGTGAATCAGTTCCTGCTCTTCACGACCTTGGGGATCCGGCACTCAGGCCATGAGGCAGAGACTACGGTGCTTCAACATTCAAGTGCGCCTCTAAGCTAGAGCCTTAAAAACCACACAGCTCAGGCTGAACTCCTGTCAGATACTTATAATGTTCTCAATGTCAAGATGTTAAAAGTATATTTTTCATCAGATTTTAAAAATAAAAGCAACATCGTTATGCAAAAATATAACATAACTAAGGACTGATTTTTCAATAAAATAAATTTTATGCTAATTATAATGTAATTGTATAGCCTATTTATAAGATGACTTTTTGCTGATAGGAATAATATTTGGCAAATCTCTCCCTCTTAGTCTCTGTTTCTCTTTCTACATATATACATATATAATATACACATATGTGTATGTATATATGTATATATCTCTATATATGTGTATCAATCTACATATATATATATAAATCCATAATGCTCAGTTTAATCTCCGTTACCTATAACTGTGAATGCAGACCATGTATGTGGTCACCCATTCCGCACTGTAAAATCTTGAAGGAAAAGAAACACACTAAGCATATGTTTGAAAAAATACAAATTCAATATGTTTAAAAACATATAAATTCAATACATTAGCTAATATTTCTTCTACAGATTCACTACCGTAAAATAAAATCTTATTTTTTTACTTTGATTTTTCTTTAGTTCTAGTAACTCCATATTAGATGTATATGTGAAAGCTGTCCAGAAATTGCACACTTAAGATTGTTAGAGTGGATTTTTTGGCTACTCTAAGAAGAATGGCGAGTTGTGGCGTGGTGTTTTTTGTTTTTTAATCTACAACAAAAAATGCAGGTGAATAAGTCTCAAGGAATGATAATTTTAAGGAGGCCGTTTTCTGCTCCATTCCTTTTAAGTGTTCCCTGAACTCCCTCTCTCTCGTGCACCCACAAACACACAACACCCGCACACATACATGCACACATTCTTCCAAAGCTGAGTCACAGCTGTCCCCTTAGGCAGGGGGGCATATATATTCCAGCCTGGCCCACTGCACTCGTGACTGGCCAGAATCTTTGTGCCCTTCCACTAGAAGTTCTTCTTTTTCCTTTATGTCTAAATTTTACTTGTGCTTTAAGGGACAACTCATATTTCATTTCCATAGTTTTTCATAATTTTCCTCCAAGCTAGAAATAAGTTCTCCCCTGAACTCTCATGCCACTGTTTCTGTACTTCTCTTAGGACTTTTCAAATATTCTATCTTGTTATTTACATGCATTTCTGATATCCTCTGGTGGACTCTAAGTGCCTGGAGGGCAGGAGTCATGTCTGATCCATTTTATATTTCTTAAGGGACTTAGCACAATAATGTTCACACAATAAATGTTTGTTGAATTATTTGTGGAATTTATTTTAGTATTGCTTACAGTGATACACATCAAGTCACACACTCATAGGTATTTATTGAACAACTATTAAATTAAATGTTTATTGCTATTTTAAGCAGTTAGGGTACTATAGAGTCTCTGAGGCAACTCTCAGTCTATTGAAGATATAAGATACATATGTGAAACAAGTAATGTCCTTAAAATATGGAGTAAGATTAATTATTCTAACGAAATGGAAGCTCAGAAGAGTTTAAGTGTCCACCAAGGATCACCATAAATAAATGGCACGCCAATATTAGAGCCCAGGTCTCGTGACTCCTACCCTAGAGATATTTTCATGACAACATGGTGCTTCTACTTGTTCCTTTTGGATTATTAAGTCCCCAAGTCAAACAATAACAAGTTATATGGAAACATTCTCAGGCAAGGAATAGAGGCGTAAAATTGAAAACATGCATCATTGTTCATGGTGGTGGTGAGGCTAGTGGCTGATTGTAGCAGAAAAGCATAGCTAATCCAATATAAATTTCAAGCCAACTTCAATTTTCAGATTGTCTTCAGACTGTGTAAAAACACAGCCAATTTTTTTTATTATTATTATACTTTAAGTTCTGGGGTACATGTGCATAACGTGGACACAGGAAGGGGAACATCCCATATCGGGGCCTGTCGTGGGGTGAGGGCAAGGGGGAGGGAAAGCATTAGGAGATATACACGCAGCCAATTTTTTAAAAGTCAGTCAAAAAATCATTGCTTTAGAAAGTTGAATCTGTAAATTTTGAACCATTCGCTGCTTTAGTTTTCCAGGGTTATCCATGTCTCTAGCATGTCAATTTACACAGTTTTTCATGGTGACAAAATCATCCTGCCCCTGAGATGCTTCTGTAGTTAGATTTGTAACTGGGGTAGTATGGCAGAAAAAGGCTGTCAGAACCAAAAACTGTAGAATGTAGAGATGAGAGAAAGCTTGGCAATCAATGAAAATGGTGATGATTTTCAGGTGAAAAAAAAAAAAATCCAAACTTAGGGAAGAAGAAATTGTATTTGAAAAGACTGCTGCAATAGAAGCGGGTATTGCAATAGGGAGTGCACTCCGACTGTAATATCTACAAGCATCTCCGAGTTCAGGCAGAAAGGCTTTTCTTTAATACCGAGGTAAACAGGAAAAGAAAAAGCTGGGTACCAGAGCATTGGGTGAGTAGGTGTGGTGATCAGGTATTTGAGCAGGAAACGTCTTCTTTGTGGTTAGCCAGTTCTGAGCGGTACGGTGAGGGGTGGTAGCTCTACTTTCCAGTGCTTGGTTAAGCTCCCAACACTTGTTTAAATTCAAAGGCAGTCCAAAGTTCTAAGTCCTGGTGAAAGCAAGAAGCCTGAATTAGGTTTGGTCAAGTTATCAAATATTATTTTCAGATTGGTTAGCAGGGACAAACAATTCAGCTAGTAATTTCCAAGATAAAAAATAGGAATTTGGAAGGTTTGTGTCTCACTTTGTTATAGTGTTTGTAAACAAACAAGGGATTCATCTATGAGGTTTATCTAAGTAATATGGAGAAGAATGGGTGTTTGTAGTGAGTCATTTCTGGAAACACAAAAAGGTGGGAAGTTTTTTGACCCTTGCTGCTTTTCAAGAACACAGGTAAAGTTCATTATCACAGGTGAGTCCACTGGAATAGGAAGAATTTTTCAAAAATTGTCATTGGTGTTCAGCCAACAGTGATTACAAGAAAGGATTTTTCTCATAGTAGACAAATAGTAGTGGCTTTTTAAGCAGAAATAACTGCAAAGTAAAAGTGTAAATATTACAAGCTAGATGAGAACATTTAATTTTAATGCTGAGCTTGCCAATCATCTCTTGGGTTGGACTCCTGCTTATAAAACCTGGCACTCTGGTTTGTAAATTTGTCCTTAAAATGTCATAACATGAGTCCATAAGCCTGGTGCCAAGGGTCAAAGCAAAAATTGCACTGGACTTGGCTGGGGATGTTGGCTCACACCCGTAATCTCAGCACTTTGGAGGCCTAGGTGGGTGGATTGCTTGAGCCCAGGAGTTCAAGACCTGCCTGGCCAACATGGAGAAACCCCATGTCTACTAAAAATAGAAAAATTAGCCAGGCATGTTGGTGCACAGCTGTAGTCCCAGCTACTTGGGAGGCTGAGGTGGGAGGATCACTTGAGCCCAGGACGTGAAGGTTGCAGTGAGTGGTGATAGTGCCACGGCATTCAGCCTGGGCCACAGAGAAAGACTCTGTCAAAAAAAAATGCACTGGACAAAGTTACACATGCAAAGAAGACTTTTAAAAGCCAAATGCAATAGAGGAAAGAAGCCAGAACTCAGTCTGAGCTCTAAGAGATGGAGAGGTTTTAAGAGCTGGGAAGAGACTAGAGGATTATAGGTCACCTGTGTTTGTTCATTGCCCTAACCCAAAACAAGCATAAACTTTCAGGTATCTTTATGATAAGAGGTAGTTTTACTTTTGAAGCAAGTTGCCTGCAGAAGTTAGGCACTTACCCTCTTACAGAAACTGGAAGATAAGGACACGCTTCCATGAAGATTTCAATAGAGATGGCTCCAAGGTCCTTGAGAAAGACTCCTGGGCTATAAAAGTAGCAAGGAGTTTTGGATTTTTTGGTTTTTGTTTGTTTGTTTGTTTGTTTTTGTTTTTGTTTTTTTAATTACATCTCAAGGAGGCAGATAAAGATTTGCAAGTTTTCTAAATGAACAGCTCTAAGAAAAGGGAGGTCAGGAAGAAGACTGTCTAAAGTTTAGTCAAGTTGAGGAGAATGTCAAAGCATTCTTGGCCACAAGTAAGCTAATAGACTGGCACCTCAAAACCAACTAAATTGATAAGACCCATCCATGGGCTCAATCAGCTAGAGGACAGTCACCTGTCCCAAAACACCCAGCCAGAAACATCTGGCAAATCTTACCCTTACATAAAAGCAAATGATTCATTGTGAAAATGATTCTCTCTTAGCAACCACCAATGTATGAGTCTCAAAAGCCTCTTGAGGGGTTGCTGAGTACACCTCCCTTCCCACTATCCACTAACCTCCAGGAAGAAAGGCGAGCTCGCCTTTAAAAAGGGATTTTCAACAAAAGAGAATAATCTCAGTAATTAGAGTCGAAGGTTAGCCTTTCAATTTCTATTCTTTTATTTTACCAGCTACAAGTGTGTATCAATTTTTCAGATTAATTCCTAAACTAGCATTATCCTGTTTCCCCTCTCTCAAAATTAGAATTTCACTTCTAAGATTCATAATGAATTTTATACATAGAATGGAATATAATTTTATGTAGCAATTATGTTGTGCTTTATCCTAAAGTGGACTTGAGGTGGTTTATAAAGATACATACTTTTTTAATACATCCAACAAATATATATTCAGAATTAGCTGCAGTCTAGATACTGTGTTAGAAGTGGGTGATGTGATATTGAACAAGACATGGTTCCCATTTTTAAGGGACTTAGGGTCTCTGAGGTCATACAGACTGACAAATCAAACTGTAAGAGTTTGATGGATTTATGTGGAAAATAAATAAGGGCGTACTTATTTATTTCCAAGAACGGGCATTGATACAGGTTGCTAGAAAATAATAGGAAGGACAATCAAGGTGATACAGAGGCTAATGTAGTACCTAAAATGTATGCCTCGAGGTCTTAGACTTTTCCCTGGAGCTTTGCCAAGTGATGACCTTGAGCTTCCTAGCAACCAATGCAAATACGGAAACTACATTTAGTTGTGTAGTTCACAGTGCCTCTAAAATAAAAGCCAACATTTCCTCTGTAGAAACAGAAAACCAAGAGGTGCCTCTTGTTAACCCTCATGCTTCATTCCACGGTAAATTTTTTATCAATAACATTCTTATAAAATCTCAGAGTTTTATAGAGATGCTTCTTATGTTCCTTCTTGAAGGGTAATGTGGTGGTGTATTTATGTGTCAACTTCACAAGGCCACAGTAGCCAGATATTTAGTCAAATAGCATTCCACATGTCACTATGAAGGTATTTTTTAAGATGAGACTAACATTTAAATCAGTAGACTTTGAGTAAAGCCGATTCCCCTCAGTACTGTGGATGGCCTCATCAAATCAGTTGAAAGCATTAGGAGAAAAACACCGAGGTCCCCTGAGGAAAAAGGAATTCTGCCTCCTGACTGCCTTCAAACTACAGCTACAACAACCACCCTTTCTAGAGCCTCCAGCTGCTGGCTTGCCCTGCAGATTAGGGACTTACCAGCCCCTACAATCACATGAGTCAATTCTTAAAGATACATCTCTTTCTGTATATATGCACTTATCCTATCTATCCATGTTTCTCTGGAGAAACTTGGCTAATAAAATTAAAGGCTTTACATCCAAGTACCATCAACAGAAACAGTTTTTCACAGGGTCAGTACAATGTGCTACATGTATAAAGCTCTCTCATGGTCTGGCTGAATAAAAGAAAAATAGTAGAACATCTATTCTACTTCAAGAACTCACCCAAGAATAGGATTTCTCAAAACAGAGGTTTAGGTAACAATTTTAAGCTTTCTGAGTGCTTGTAAATACTTTCTTTATAAATGTTTATTTAATCCTCATAAGAAATCTATAAGGCATATTCTATCATTATTTTCATTTTACAAATAAAGAAACTGAGGTACATATCTTCTCCAATATCACACAAGGTAGCAAATGCCAGAGCCAGAATTCATCCTCACTGCTTAGTTTTACAGTCTAAGTTCTCAACTACTCTGCTGAAGAGTGAATAATTTTTAGTCTGCAGAAAGTTTAAGGTTAAATTCACTGGTCTGGCAGGTATTTGGATTGAATTAAGATTAGATCTGCATGCCTCATTGTCTGCAGAACCTTGCATAGAAACATGGTATCCAGAAGGCCTCTCCCCCTCCGTGGAGAAGAATGTTGAAGAATTGCCAAGAACTTCCTCAGAACACAAGTTTGGGTTTAGTTCAACATATAGGAGACTGAGATCCCAAAGTTGTGCATCATAAAACATGGAAAGAATAACTTTTGCTTAGAGAATATGATCTTCAGTTTACTAAAGCATGCTGTGTCCACAGAAGTGTTCTTTTTAATTTCAATATTCATGAAACATCTAACTTTTAAGTGATGGAATTTTCCAGTGACCTGTATAGGATAAACTGGCTGCAAAATATAATCCAAAGTGACCAGTATTAATTATCCAATTAGATATGCACTAAAAATTATGATTAGAGCTTTGAAATTGTGAATTGAGAATCATACATCCAGATAATGATTATATCAGAGGATAAGATATGTCATATGGCTCTATTATTTCATGACCATAAGATCATGTTATAAGAGGAAGGATGCTACAGGAGATATGTTTTTCTTTCTCTGAGTTGTGGTGAGGAAGCTAATATATCCAGCTCATCAAGAAGTAGTAGCAAGTCATTAATGGGAAGAGAAGCTAAAACACAGCTTTGTTTTGTCTCACTGTGAATTATCCAGAATTGGCCCCTTGGAGGGATCATTACCACAAACCTGGACACTCAAGGTAAGATTAAGACATAGGTTATGTATAAGCATATAAGCTGGAGAATCATAAAGGTGAATAAAAGCTGCTGATAGTCTTAGGTTTTTTGGTTTTGTTTTTTGTTTTCCCTCATAGAATTTCCATCAAAGTGAAAAAGAGCATAATAATAATCAAAGAAGGATTAGCTGTGTTCCCAGAGCTCAGTAGCATTCTTTTCAAATACTGTCCTGAGAAGCCCAGACTTGATTTTTTGTCACTGTAGGAAACCACTATGAGTTTTGGATGAAATGTCTCACAACTAGTGAGTAGTTGCAATTTTAAAAGGAGTAGCATGCTTCTAAATTTTTTTATTCTTAAAAATAAATTTTATTCTAATAACTTTTTTTTTTTTTTGAGACAGAGTCTTGCTCTGTCACCAGGCTAGAGTGCAGGGGCACAAGCTCAGCTCACTGCAACCTCCACCTCCCGAGTTCAAGCAATTCTCCTGCCTCAAGCTCCCGAGTAGCTGGGATTACAGGCAAGCACCACCACACCCAGCTAATTGTTGTATTTTTAGTAGAGACGGGGTTTCACCATGTTGGCCAGGATGGTCTCAATCTCCTGACCTCTTGATCCACCCGCCTGAGCCTCCCAAAGTGCTGGAATTACAGGCATGAGCCACTGCACCTGGCCCATCTAATAACCTTTTTCAACATTAGCCCTGAGCAGGATTAATAATAATTCTGAGGATACAAATGTCAAATTTCTCAGATATGTTTACAGATAAAGTTTTGTATCTTATATAGATTTATAGTGTATAGTTGTCATTTGAGTTATGTAATCAGACTGATTTGAATGGTTTTAGATATATTTCTATACAAGCTCTGACCATCTGATGCCTTTAATAAGAACAGCAAAGTCTATGCCAGGTGGTTCTTGTGCCTAGCCTGGGAGGGATTTCACATGGTTGCTCCTTCCTGATCCTCCTCTTCATGAGAGCAGAGGGACATTGAGCACGGGAATCATCTGTTGGGGTCCTTCTCTTGCTGTCCAGCCTTCCTAGTGACTCAAGTATCAGGAAAGCTGAATAAAGAATGGAGCAAATTCATGACAGGGCCTCCTCCTCTCTTAGGGTCTTCAACCACCTCATGACCTCCATGGACAGATTCGGCTGCCACCCTTTCCTAAAAAGAGGGATACTCCCACAAGTCACTTTCAGCAAACAGCCTCCACAACAAGGCAGTTCTGCTGGAAACTTTTCTTCCCTTTTGTTTCAGAATCTTGGAGCATGACCAGCTTTTAGGCAATTATCCATTTCCTTTTCACTTCCGGAGTTCTTTATATCCATCCTCTACGCAGATAAATCATATCAGATGACCCATCCAATTGGAGACTTTGGATAAAGCAGTTTATTTGCACAATCTCACTCTTGGTCATTCCTCAGACAGGTGAGAACTTGACCCACTTTTCTTCATGGAGAGATGCAAGTATAAAACATGACACTAATTATGCTTTGAACTGAGGCTCTCCAATTATGATCATGTCTCCCAATTTTACTAACCCATGTACTCATTTGGCAGGAAGCCTGTTTGCTAAGCTCCCTTGAAGAGAAAAACATGAGGGTGCATATGAAGCTGTACTGGGGCTGGTTAACTCAGATGGTGTGGTGCTCATGATGGAGCACCAGCCTCAGTATGAGCCCAGCGCTATTCTCTTGCCGCAGAGAAAAGGCATGGAGGAGAAGGCCAAGACAAACCTCTATCCCTGCCAAGTTCAGCAGTGAATCAGAGAGTACTTCATAGAAATCCATTCTGTGGCCTCCTGAACAGGGACCAGGCATTCATAATCAGCACAGTTTATTTTAATTGAGCAGCAGATCATTTATCTGATGACAAAAATTTTATTAGGATTTTCAGAATGCTTGAATTATAAGTACAGTGTGGTCTTTTTTTTTTTATATTTTTATGAGGGTATCAAAAGCATCAGTTCCTAGAGGTTGTTATATATCTATCTATATATAAATTTTTTAAAAGGTAATTCCATGAAGTGTGCTGCTATTATTGTGGAGTAGCCAAGAAATTGTTCACCAAGTATACAGATTTCTCAGGAACCCAAGCACAGACCCTCTGCCTGAATATTTACCCAGCATGTTTTCTAGGACATCACAGAGCTGAGGTTGCTTATGTTTCTGTTGACATCAACATGATGACCATGTGTTTATATAGCAGGATGCTAGCCCTTGTCCACAATTTCAAATGCTTCACTCCACCACAGCTGTGCAGAGACCTTCCCTATTATAATGAGTATAATTAACTTCCAGAGTTGTAATTCTAACATGGTAGATTTTTCAGAATTTATCAGTTGACACTAAAAAATCTGCATATTATTTCATTCTTAGGGGAAATTATCTTACTTTCTTTAACTATGTATACAAGAAAAGATAGTAGGCCTTCATGGGTACTTGCCTAGCTGTATAAAGTATTCCTGGCCAGGCACGTTGACTCATGCCTGTAATCCCAGCACTTTGGGAGGCCGAGGCAGGTGGATCATGAGGTCGGGAGATCCAGACCATCCTGGCTAACACAGTGAAACCCCGTCTCTATTAAAAATACAAAAAATTAACCAGGTGTGGTGGCGGGCGCCTGTAGTCCCAGCTACTTGGGACGCTGAGGCAGGAGAATGGTGTGAACCCAGGAGGCGGAGCTTGCAGTGAGTGGAGATCGCACCACTGCACTCCAGCCTGGGCGACAGGGCGAAACTCCATCTCAAAAAAAAAGGAAATCTGTTGAACAAAAAAATATATGGCAGAGAAAAAAAAAGAAGAATGGGGAAAAGAGGAGGGGGCATTTCTTTATGAACACACTTGTCTTTTTAGTTGTGTAGGAGGTGGGCCAGCAAAGTAGGACTAATAACTTTACTGTCTGAAGACCACTGTGTTGAATCTGATGACCTGCTGAGGTCTACACTAACTTAAAAAGTCTATGATTCTGATGAAGGATTTTGACCCCCAAAATGTATATACATTATAATTAGTTATATTAGCAAAATACATAAAGATAATATTGGAGAAGTATCTTCCAGTGACGAGACCACATGATTCTGTATTCCCAAGGCAGAAGTTTCTGGAATCTAAATTCTCCCCATGGAATGCCATGTCATTATCAGCCCTGGTTTGTAAGTAATATAAAAGTGTTCCATGTCCTGTCCTGAAGGGAGAAGGTCATGATGTGTGCCTCATTCTGCTATTTGGCAAGGGCTTTGAATATTTGCAGCTTTTTTTTCTTGTAAATTTTTGTTTTTAATGAAAGTAAAATCACATGTGCATCCAAACTCAATTGAAAGAAAAGAGTTGTTAGCACTTTATAATAATCATCACACACCATCACGCTACAGGAAATAGCATGTAGTCCATTGTTGTTTTGGTAACATACCCTGGTACATCATCTGATAGATGTCATATTAAATGCTTTCTTTTTCCAGGGGAGAGAAAGAGAATATTGAAATATAAGATTGACCTGATGCAGTATAAATACCCATTTGCCCCAATAATTTATCCTTTTTTCTGAGGACAAAGAATTTTTTTTCCTTTTCTGACTAGGACAAAAGCAATTAAGAGCTAAGTTATTAAAAAATCCATTATCAGATAGCAGAGTCATTTACTGATATAATCAGAAAAACTAAAGGGCAGTTTGAGATGTCAATGAGGAAGAATTTGAAGAGAAAGAAAGTCATACACTGCTAATATTGGTTGGTAACAAGGTGCACAAACTCTGGTGAGTTGTGGCCATTACTCAACCTTATTCATAAAAGCATTTTTCCCTCTTTGATTCCAAGCTGAATCTAGCTTCTGCAGTCAATTTTCTAATGTAAACGGCGAGTGTTCTGTATAGATTATTTGTTTATTTATTGCCCCAAGTCAGCTCCTGGTGAGTTGAGCCTTGCTTAAACTTACTTTCTCTTCCTCTGCAGAGTTATAAGGCTCAGCAGGGCCATAGCTGCAGTCTCCAAACCTTGCCTGACCTTGAGCTTCACCTTGTCTACTATACCAATTTTAGGAACATTCTAGAAAAGCTTCTCCAGGGCAGTGACTAACCCCAGGTACCCCTCGCACAATGGAACATTTGCAAACCTTGCAGCAATCACATCTGTTTTGTTGACCTCAGAGACTGATCTATCATTTCAAAAAGAAACACAAGAATCTCTTATTCCCTAGAAAAAGAACATTGTACAAAAGAAAAATTTGCCAGGTTTATTTGAAAATACACCCATAGGTAGGCTTCTTGGACCTTGAACTACTAAAGTAATGCAGAGAATTCTCTTCACTTACTTACGGTCCTACAATGAAAGCTGATGATGACCTTTAAAAATGTTATCTCACCACAGAATAATAAAAATTATTAAAATAGCTTCAACATCTCTCCTTGTATGTAAAAAAACACACCACTTTACCTGCAGTCTAGCATGTTTTGGAGCATTTTGAAAGATTTTCAGACAATAGAAATTTTTTACCCCAAGTTATGGTTACATAGAAGACAGGTATTCAAATTACTTAAATTATTAAAATAGAGTAGGGCACCCTGCCTATGCTGTCACTGTCAACAGCACTGAGCATTGGAGTAGATAACTACTGTCACAAAGCAATGTCAGTCTCTAGCCAAGCATGTAGGAAGATGGACACATCTTAAAAAAAAAAAAAAACAAAGTCAGGTGGGTTGGCTGTAATCCCAGCATGTAATCACGCCTGTAATCCCAGCACTTTGAGAGGCCAAGGTGGGCGGATCACGAGGTCAAGAGATGGACACAATCCTTGCCAACATGATGAAACCCTGTCTCTATTAAAAATACAAAAATTAGCTGGGCTTGGTGGCGTGTGCCTGTAGTCCCAACTACTCGGGAGGCTGGGGCAGGAGAATCGCTTGAACTTGGGAGGCGGAGGTTGCAGTGGGCTGAGATCAGCCACTGCACTCCAGCCTGATGACAGGGCAAGACTCTGTCTCAAAACAAAACAAAACAAAACAAAAAAAAGTGTTGGATATCTCATGTAATTTATTGCATACTCTACTGAAAATGAAAAAGAATAGTCGTAAGGTACTCATGTTTTGTTTTCACACCATTATACAGTCAAAAAATCCTAAAACAGGCTGGGCGCAGCGGCTCATGCCTGTAATCCCAGCACTTTATAAAAATAAAAAATAATAAATAAATAAATAAAACCTTGGTCTTCATTTGTTCAAGTTGCTTTTCATCAAATGGTTGAAATTAGGGCTTCACAGAGATCATTTCATTACAGTTTTGCGGTCAGTGTAACCCCACATTTAATACTCCCATTTTTGAGAGAAGATAAATATTTTCATTAAATAACTCAAAAAGTTAGCTGCACAACTTGTTTTAGAACAAAACCTTTTCATAGCATGTGCCCCCACCTCCCTTTATCATCACCCAAGTACTTGAAAAATTACAAGAAGAAAGAAAACATGATGACAAGAAAATTGCTTCTGAATTATCATGTTCTACAGAAAGAAAGGTATTTAAGAAAACATTTAAAAGATAATTAAAGGCTAAAAAAAAGGAGTTTTGTGGCAAAGGGATTCAAATTTCTGTTGTGCTTCAGCTGTGGAGCTGACCCATGCCTGTTTTCTGAGTATTTGATCCATGCGAAGCACAGCCAAATGGGACACCTGGTGCTGTGGTTGCCAGCAGTGAAGCGGACATGTATCAGGGTTCTACTCAATATGCAAACCATTTTCAGACTTTATAGTAATTTAAAAGTTCCTCTTAAAGTATCCTTTGTGTGTCAACAAAAAAGAACCAAAATGCTGTGTACAGAGCTTTCAGGGGGGTAGAGATTGGATGCTGTAGGCTGCAAAGTGAGACAGCCATCCCCAGTTGTCCTATAGCACAGTGATTTCCAAACTTTTCTTGGGATCAGGACTGCTTTACACCCTTGGAAATTATTAACTATCCCAAATATCTTTTCTTTGTTAAAATATTTGAAATATGCCTATTAGACATTTAAAATATCATTTTACATTTATTTTTCTATTTAAAATAATAATAAACTCATTGTCGGTTAACAAAAAAAAAAGTTTTAAGGAAAAGTAACGTATTTTTCAAAACAAGAAAATTTAGTGAGAATAGCATTGTTTTACATTTTTTGCAAATTTCTTGAATGCCTGGCTGACTTGAAGACAGCTGGATTCTCTTATCTGCTTCTGCACTTCATGCGTTCAATTCAACTATATGAAGTATGTAAAGAAAAATCTGGGTCCACAGAGATATTGATCATAAAAAGAAAGAATCTTTTCATAATCTTTTTTAACATTATACATTATTCTTTGATGCTACACCAAAACCCAGAGCAGAAGTTTTTTAAAAGTTAGTTGCAATGAGGAATCTGAGACCATATCAATAAACTTTTTATCCTCTTATATTAAAACCTAGTAGTCTATCTTGTACTTTCAATGGATCTTGTACTCTGCACAATTTTGTAATATGATCATTAACCATTTGAAAAATATCGGCTGAGTTATGCAGGTCTTCCAAATGTTAAAATCTTTCATTTATACAATATCAAAAAATCATATTCATTCATATCACCACTAATATCATCAGAAAAGTCTTTAAGTATTGGGAAGTGATCAAGCTCATGGTGGCAGACACGTTTTCCAAAATTCTGATTTTCATTTGAAAGCTCGAAATTTATTATTGGCAAAAAAATACCATCTATTGATTTCCTTTAAGTGGCAGGCTCACACACTTTGTACTTAGGAGGCTGAGGCAGGAGGATCATTTGAGCCCAGGAGTTTGAGGTACAGTGAACTATGATTACACCACTGCACTCCAGCCTGGTGACATGGCAAGAACCTGTGTCTAAAGAAAAGAAAGAAAAAAAAAAAGGAAATGTCTTTCAACTGCTTATTTGTAATTTGTTCTCTCCAGTAAGAATTTTGCTTCCTGAAACAAGTAGCTAGTTCAGATTGCAACTCAATTACAAAATGTTTTTCCCTGAGATAACTATAGTACTTCAGTAGCGGAGGAAATGCTTTTTTAAAACCTCTTATTTCATCATCTGCAATATTGAAAGAACATATACTTAAGGACTGAGATTTAATACAATTAATTTTCACTGATTCACTAATGCCATTCGTATGTGAAATTGACTTCGTGCTGTGTTTTGCTTTTGTTTGCTTTTGTTTTATTTTTCTACTGAGAGTGCTTTGAAGTGAAGAGCTACAAGATGACTTTAATGGTTTGGTGCCACTGTTTTTATTTGAGCTAAAAAGTACCAGAAGTTTTACCACTGTTGCTTTTGTACCATTAATGTGCAAATAGCAACACAGTGAAAAGCCAAATAATATATCGGCATTGTTGGGAAAGCAGTTATAGCTTTGTGAACTCCTGCAAGAATCTTGGGGACCCCCAAGGTCCCGGCATGACACATTGAGAACTACTGGGATATGAAAACCACCCCACAGAAATAAAATGATAGAAATTATCTACAGAGATCAATTATGAATAAGATTTATGTAGTTATAATAATGGAATCATTAATATTGATCTAAATAAAATTACCATATATATCAGGAAAGGGGAAGAGGATAATGTGTGTTGATGGTGGATACAAGGAGGTGAAAGAGTTAAATTCTGTCATCTAAAATGGGAAGTAAATACATAAATTACCTAAAAACCTAAAAAACAAAAAAAAACTCACAAAATCATTAATTCACAATATATGGTAACTAACAATAGAAACTACTGCAAGAGTTATATATAAACTGTTGTCCTGACTTCCAATGCTTTACATGATTTGCTCCTCCCTTAGCTCTGTTCTCATGGCTTACCTTACCTTTGGCTGACTCCACTCCAGCCATACAGGCTTTCTAGACTTCTGTATACACACCAAGCATTGCTGCTTACTTAATTCTTCTGTGTTGTCAGGTCTGCCTGGACCACACTTTGCCCAGAAATGTGCATGGTTAATCTCTCATTACCTCAGGTATTTTTAAATAAGGCTCATGTGACTACTCTATCTCTACATCTTTCCTGTGCTCATGATTCATCCCCTCTTGCTCTATTTTCCCCCACCATTCCTAGTACAATCACACATACTGTATACTTTATTTAGGGTACTTATTGTCTTTTGTCTGTGCCTTCCCACTCTGATAGAATATAAATTCTATCTAAGCAATTTTACCTATTTTATTCACTAATGAATCCCAAGCACCTACAACAGTGTGTGACATATAGAAGATGCTCAATAAATACTTGTTGAACATATGTTTGAATGAGGAGCAGAAAATGGTGAGGTAAAACAGGTAAGAGTCTGCTATTTCTCATAGGAAACCTTATAGAACCATTTGACTTTTCAATGTGTGCAAGTATAACTTCAATAAAAATAACAGACAAATTTATGGAAATAAATATATAACAGTATCCTGTCAGAATTAGTAGAGACTGTAAAATGTAAATTTAGGAGTTGTGAGAGAAAGGAGGACAGGATGGGAGCTGAGAAGAAGAACCAAGAGGAGTTTGAGGAAGGTAGGGAGAACAAGACAAGGCTTGCTGAAATGTCGTGGTTGGAAAAAGCCTTATTGAAAGTCCCACAGGAGAACAGAACACAGTCTACAGCACTGCCACTGGCTCTTATAATCGCTTCTTTTTTAAGGGGCTTATTAAGATATAATCAATATATAAAAAACTACACATATATGATGTGCATAATTTGATGAGTCTAGACATATGGATACACCTGTGAAACCATCACCACAATAAAGGCAATACATGATACATCCACTCCAAATTTTTTTTGTGCCTCCCCCGCACTTGGCCAAGTGTTCTTGTGCAAGGAAAACCCTACATCAACCATTCACAGCAGCTCTGATAGAATGAGTCCTGGCAGAAGTCAGTGACAACAGGACCCATCCTTCTCTTCCTCAACAAACCCCTAGAATGAGTTTGCAGCAACTCTAGCCCAGAAATCTGCCAGATCCCTCCTAGAAGGAAGCTCAGAAAAATGAAAGGCAAAGAAATTGAAAATGACTACCATCAGAATCATATATTTTAATGGAGGGAGATAGATACTTAAAATGGGAAAGCCTGAAGGTGAGAAGGTAAAGGGTCAATACCAAGGAGAAAAAATGGCACAGAAAGCAGAGACTGATGATGAAAATAAGTGTGAATATTTGGTGTCAGGTGCTTTCCTGTTTTAATGGAAAGGAAAGAGTTTAAGAAAAGGGAGCAAAAAAGACTGCAACCAAGGCATCAAAATGAAACAGAAAGGGCACAAAAAGCTCCATAATTTGGCTTAGAGTCAACTCTGTTTTTCCTTGATGGCCTGTGAACAAATAGAAGCCACAACAGACATGCCTTTGCCCATAGGTACATACAAAGCGCAGCTCAAACCCATAGGGCCAGTGCTGCTTCACCAGGTTTAGAAGATTTGTTTAAACCTCATCTGCATCATTAAAAAGAGGCATCAGTCTTTAAATCCTCCATTCATTTATGGAATGGTTATTGAACGCTTCCTATGGGCCAGGAGATATTCTGAGTACTGGGGACACAATGGTGAGTGAAAAGAAATGTGATCCCAGATCTTGTAAAAATTCCTATTAATCAGGATTTCCTGAAATAAATAAGTCCTATGGAGGAGAGAAATGCTGGCGTGGACTGCCGTGAGAGCACATAAGAGGAGAATTTAACCTGGTTGCAAACTTTGGTATCATGTCCATAAATAGTACGATTGACCAGTGATCTGAAGATGAGTAGGCATTATGTGGGTCAGTACATTTTAGACATAATGTAGGGAATGGGCTGGGTAGGGGTAGATGGAAAAGACAGTTAAGAGGTAAGCAGGGTAAGTGAAAGTTGATAGTCACCCGAGATAATATTGTGCCTGTAAAGATGGAGAAAACTGAATTTAAGTGTAACTGAGGTGGTAAAGTCAATAGAACTTATGAAGGGTTGGAGATGTGAAGGTAGGTATCAAAGATGATGACTTGATGTTTAGATTCTGCAACCAGATGGATGGTGTTGGCAACCATTGAATAGGCAATATCTGAAGAAGACTTTAAGATGGAGGCAGAAATGACAGGCTGGAGATCATGAGTTTAATTTGGGACTTATTAAATTTGAGATGTATTTGGGACTTTCAACAGAAGATATTGGACAAGGAGATGAGTAAGTCTACAACTCAGAGCAAAGGCCTGCATGGGAGAAATGCATGCATCAATCTATCCATGGGTGGCAATTGAACCTGTAGAGTACATATTGTCTCTTAGAGAGTAGAGTCAGGGGACAAGAGAACCTACAAACTGTTACCTATAATATATAATGAGGAGGTAGCAGAAGGAGATCCCTAATAAACCCAGAGATAAAACAGGCAAAGAGAAAGGAGAAAACAGCATGCTGGGCAGCACCATTCTATACGACAATTTTATTTTCAGATGGGAGGATAAACTATCCAGCATATTTTTTTCCACATAGGAATTGTATTAAGTTCATGGAAGATGTATTAATATCTGTAAGTGAGATTTTAAAAGTTGTTTTTCTCTAATGACTTTTTATTGGGATTTACCAAATCCAAACAGAAATTTCTTACCTCTCAGCGATAGTAAACAATGAATAACTCAAAGTAAAAATTAAGTGATTCTTGGTCACCTCCAATGTCCCTGACTCCTATGAAAGATTAATGAACAATCCTGAGAAAAGTTGGAACTTACATATTCAAAAATATTCTGTGATGAGCTAAGAAGCAATTATGAAGCTGGGCATGTTATGTGAATAAGCATAAGACTATAAAATTATTACTCTCAAGTTCAAGAGAACAAAGCTGTTTAAAATTATTCTTAACTAAATGGTATTTCTGATAAGTATAATATGAATTCAGGAATGACAATATGGCAAAGATGGCTGGTAGTCTGCCAGAAATTTATTCTCCTTTTCTTTCTCAAACTATATTTTTAATGGTAACAGTTAAAGGACTACATGCCCTGGTCTCTCTTATAGCTGAGTGGCTGAGTGCCTGTGTGATATGATAGAAGTACTATATTGCATAGGGACTTCTAGAAAATCTCCTTAAAGGGAAAGGTTGCCTGTGGCCACTTTCTCATTCCTGTTGAATGAAATGAAAAAGTGAAGGCTATCACTGAAGCAGCCATCAAAGGCCATGAAACTAAATGCTAAGAATAATGGAGCAGCAAGAGAGAATGTGCCTTCATCCCAGATGACTATGGAGCTACCATGAGTCCTCACTCATGACTGGACTTCCTTCATTTATGAGAACTGTAAATGTCCAGCTAGTTTAAACCATTGTTTTGATGGGCTTCTAGTATATGAAACTAAACCTAGTCCTGAACAACTTAAGGTTGTGACCATGGAAGAAATTACAACAGAGGTAAAATCCAGTTGAGACTTTAAGAGTGAGGAGGGGTAATGGAGAACAGCAGCTTTAAAGAATAATGTTATAATAGAACATTAAATAAAATAGATTCAGGATTATCAATTAAGATGGCAGAGACGAGGCAGGACTAGCTTGCAGCTCTCACTCGGATGGACAGAGCAGCAAGTGGAGACTCACATTGTGAACTTTTGCTCCAAGAACTACTGCATGAACATATCAGGAAAGCCAAGAGAATCCACAGAACCTTTGAAGAAACTGGATCAATGCTGTAGGCTCCCTGAGATGCCACGAAACTGTGAGTCTGCTTGATTTCTCAGTGGGGGGGCTTGTGGTCTGGGGCAAGTTCTCAATCCTGGTCGCCAGTTGCCTGCAAATAGACTTGGTGCTGTTGGGGGAACAAAATGGGAGTGAAATCAGTGTTTAGGACTACGGGCTATGTGAGAGCAGGGTGAGGCCTGTGACTGCCAGCTTTCCTCCACTTCCCTGGCGACCCATATGACTCAGCAGAGGCAGTCATAATCCCCCTGGGAACATAGCATAACTCCATTGGCCTGGGAACCACACCCCCATCCCCCACAGCAGTCACAGCAAGTCCTGCCTGCCAAAGGAGAATCTGAGCTCAGACACACACCTATCCTTACCCTCACCTGATGGTCTTTCTCCACCTGCCCTGGTAGTCAAAGACAAAGGTCATAATCTCTTGGGAGCTCTATGGCCCTGCCCAATGCCTGAGAAACCTGATTACTTAAGTGGGTGTCCTTAGGGCAAGTTCACATCCTTCCTATACTACAGCAGCTCATGCGTTCTTGAAAGTGCCACCTCCTCGCTGGAGGCCAACCAACACAAAACCAGTGCACAACACAAAAATATAATCAAGGACCCTTACAGAGTCCATTTCACCCCCCTGGTACCTCCAGAGCAGGTGCTGGTATCCACAGCTGAAAGACCTGAAGACAGATCACATCACAGGACTCTTTGCAGACACTACCCAGTAGCAACCTTGATCCCAGTAGCTCTGGCAGGTGACTAGACCCAGAAAAGCAAAAACAATCAGTGCAGTTCAGCTCTCAGGAAGCACCATTCCTAAAGGAAGGGGGAAAATATCACATCAAGGGAGCACTGTGTGGGACAAAAATTCTAAACAGCAGCCCTTGAGTCCCAGATCTTTCCTCTGACATAGTCTACCCAAATGAGAAGGAATCAGAAAACCAATTCTGATAACATGACAAAACAAGGTTCTTTAACACCCCCAAAAGATCACACCAGCTCACCAGCAATGAATCCAAACCAAAATGAAATTTCTCGGTTGCCAGAAACAGAATTCAGAAGGTCATTTATTAAACTAATCAGGGAGGCATCAGAGACAGATGAAGTCCAATTTAAAGAAATAAAAAACATGATTCAAGATATGAAGGGAAAAATCTTCAGTGAAATAGATGCATAAATAAAAAACAATCATAACTTCTGGAAATCAAAGGCACACTAAGAGAAATGAAAAATGCACTGGAAAGTCCCAGCAATAGAATTGAACAAGCAGAAGAAAGAACTTCAGAGCCCAAAGACAAAGCTTTCAAATTAGCCTAATCCATCAAAAATGAAGAAAAAATATAATAAAAAATGAACAAAGCCTCTAAGAAGTTTGGGACTATGTTAAGTGTCCAAACCTAAGAATAATTGGTGTTCCTTAGAAAGAAGAGAAATTTAGAAGTTTGAAAAACTTTTAAAATTTTTCAAGGAAAGCTCCCTGAGCCTTGCTAGGGATCTAGTCATTCAAATACAAGAAGCTCAAAGAACACCTGGGAAATTCATTGCAAAAAATCATCACCTAGGCATATAGTCATCAGGTTATCTAAAGTCAAGATAAAGGAAAGAATCTTAAGAGCTGTGGGGCAAAAGCATTGGGTAACCTATAAAGGAAAACTTATCAGATTAAGAGCAGATTTTTTAGCAGAAACCCTACAAGCTAGAAGGTATTGGTGTCCTATTTTTAGCCTCCTTAAACAAAACAATTATCAGCCAAGAATGTTGTATCCAGCAAAACTAAGCTTCAGGAATGGAGGAAGGATACAGTCTTTTCCAGACAAACAAATGCTGAAAGAATTCACCACTGCCAAGCCAGCATTACAAGAACTGCTAAAAGGAGCTCTAAACCTTGAAACAAATCCTTGAAATACATCAAAATAGAACCTCCTTAAAGCATAAAGCATAAATCTCACAGGATCTATGTAACAATAACACAATTTTTAAAAAAAGGTATTCGGACAACAAATAGCATGATGACTAGAATAGTATCTCACATCTAAATGCTAACATTGAATGTAAATGCCCTAAATGCTCTGCTTAAAATATACATAATGGCAGAATGGATAAGAATTTACAAACCAAGTTTCTGCTGTCTTTGGGAGACTCACCTAACACATAAGGACTCACATAAACTTAAGGAAAATGAATGGAAAAAGATATTCCATGCAAATGGAAACAAAAAGCAAGCAGGAGTAGCTGTTCTTAAATGTGACAAATCAAACATTAAAGCAACAACAGTTTAAAAAGACAAAGAGGGACATTATATAATGACAAAAGGACTAGTCCAACAGGAAAACATCACAATCCTAAATATATATTCACCTAACATTGAAGCTTCCAAATTTAGAAAATAATTACTAGTAGACTTAATAAATGAGATAGACAGCAACACAATGATAGTGAGAGACTTTACTATTCCACTGACAGCACTGTCATCAAGACATAAAGTCAAAAAAGAAACAATGGACATAAACTACACCCTACAACAAATGAACTTAACAGATATTTACGGAACATTCTACCCAACAACTACAGAATACACATTCTATTCATCAGCACATGGAACATTCTCCAAGATAGTTCATATGACAGGCCACAAAACTATTCTCAGTAAATTTTAGAAAATTGAAATTATATCAACTACCCTCTCAGACCACAGTGGAATAAAATTGGAAATCAACTGCAAAAGAACCCTCAAACCATGCAAATACAAGGAAATTAAATAACTTGCTCCTGAGTGATCACTGGGCCAATGATGAAATCAAGCTGGAAATTGAAAAGTTCTTTGAACTGAGTGATAATAGTGACACAATCTATTGAAACCTCTGGGATGCAGCAAAAGTGGTACTAAGAGGTAAGTTCATAGCATTAAGTGCCTATTTCAAAAAGTCTGGATAAGCACAAATAGACAATCTAAGGTCACACTTCATGGAACTGGAGAAACAAGAACAATTCAAACCCGAACCCAGCAGAAGAAAACAAATAATGAAGATCAGAACAGAATTAAATGAAATTGAAACAAAAAAAGTCTCAAAAGATAAATGACACAGTAAGCTGGTCCTTTGAAAAGATTTATAAATTTTTTTGGCAAAAAATGCCAAAAATTTTCTCCCATTTTGTAGGTTGCCTGTTCACTCTGATGGTAATTTCTTTTGCTGTGCAGAAGCTCTTTAGTTTAATTAGATCCCATTTGTCAATTTTGGCTTTTGTTGCCATTGCTTTTGGTGTTTTAGACCTGAAGTCCTTGCCCACGCCTATGTCCTGAATGGTAATGCCTAGGTTTTCTTCTAGGGTTTTTATGGTTTTAGGTCTAAAGTTTAAGTCTTTAATCCATCTTGAATTAATTTTTGTATAAGGTGTAAGGAAGGGATCCAGTTTCAGTTTTCTACATATGGCTAGCCAGTTTTCCCAGCACCATTTATTAAATAGGGAATCCTTTCCCCATTGCTTGTTTTTGTCAGGTTTGTCAAAGATCAGATAGTTGTAGATATGTGGCGTTATTTCTGAGGGCTCTGTTCTGTTCCATTGATCTATATCTCCGTTTTGGTACCAGTACCATGCTGTTTTGGTTACTGTAGCCTTGTAGTATAGTTTGAAGTCAGGTAGCATGATGCCTCCAGCTTTGTTCTTTTGGCTTATGATTGACTTGGCCATGCAGGCTCTTTTTTGGTTCCATATGAGCTTTAAAGTAGTTTTTTCCAATTCTGTGAAGAAAGTCACTGGTAGCTTGATGGGGATGGCATTGAATCTATAAATTACCTTGGGCAGTATGGCCATTTTCACAATATTGATTCTTCCTATCCATGAGCATGGTTCTGACAAAGGGCTAATATCCAGAATCTACAATGAACTCAAACAAATTTACAAGAAAAAAAAGAACAACCCCATCAAAAAGTGGACAAAGGACATGAACAGACACTTCTCAAAAGAAGATATTTATGCAGCCAACAAACACATGAAAAAATGCTCATCATCACTGGCCATCAGAGAAATGCAAATCAAAACCACAATGAGATACCATCTCACACCAGTTAGAATGGCAATCATTAAAAAGTCAGGAAGCAACAGGTGCTGGAGAGGATGTGGAGAAATAGGAAGACTTTTACACTGTTCGTGGGACTGTAAACTAGTTCGACCATTGTGGAAGTCAGTGTGGCGATTCCTCTGGGATCTAGAACTAGAAATACCATTTGACCCAGCCATCCCATTACTGGGTATATACCCAGAGGACTATAAATCATGCTGCTATAAAGACACATGCACACGTATGTTTATTGCGGCACTATTCACAATAGCAAAGACTTGGAACCAACCCAAATGTCGAACAATGATAGACTGGATTAAGAAAATATGGCACATATACACCATGGAATACTATGCAGCCATAAAAAATGATGAGTTCATGTCCTTTGTAGGGACGTGGATGAAATTGGAAATCATCATTCTCAGTAAACTATTGCAAGGACAAAAAACCAAACACCGCATATTCTCACTCATAGGTGGGAATTGAACAATGAGAACATATGGACACAGGAAGGGGAACATCACACTCTGGGGACTGTTGTGGGGTGGGGGGAGGGGGGAGGGATAGCATTAGGAGATATACCTAATGCTAAATGATGAGTTAATGGGTGCAGCACACCAGCATGGCACATGTATACATATGTAATAACCTACACTTTGTGCACATGTACCCTAAAACTTAAAGTATAATCATAATAAAATTAAATTAAATTAAAAAAATACAAGTCCAGGACCAGATGGATTCACAACTGAATTCTATCAGACATTCAAAGAAGAATTGGGACTAATCCTATTAGTACTATTCCAAAAGATAGAGAAAGAAGGAATCCTCCCTAAATCATTCTAAGAAACTGGTATCACCCTAATACCAAAATCAGGGAAGGAATTAACAACAACAACAAAAGCTACAGACCAATGTCCCTAATTAACATAGATGCAAAATTCCTCAACAAAATACTAGCGACCCTAATTCAACAGCATATCAAAAAGATAATCCAAAATGATCAAGTGGGTTTCACACCAGGGATGCAGGGATGGTTTAACACACATAAGTCAATAAATGTATTACATCACCTAAACAGAATTAAAAAGAAAATTCACATGACCATTGCAATATATGCAGAAAAAGCATTTGACAAAATCCAGCATCGCTTTATGATTAAAACCCTCAGCGGCTGGGTACAATGGCTCAAGCCTATAATCCCAGCACTTTGGAGGCTGAGGCGAGCAGATCACAAGGTCAGGAGATTGAAACCATCCTGGCTAACATGGTGAAACCCTGTCTCTACTAAAAATACAAAAAATTAGCCAGGCATGGTGGCAGGTGCCTGTAGTCCCAGCTACTTGGGAGGCTGAGGCAGGAGAATGGTGTGAACCCAGGAGGCAGAACTTGCAGTGAGCCAAGATCTCTCCACTGTACTCCAGTCTGGATGACAGAGCAAGACTCTGTCTCAAAAAAAAAAAAAAAAAAAAAAAACCCTCAGCAAAATCAGCATAGAAGGGACATAGCTTAAGGTAATAAAAGCCATCTCTGACAAACCCACAGCCAACATTTTACTGAATGGGGAGAAGCTGAAAGCATTCCCCCTGAGAACTGGAACAAGACAAGGATGCCCGCTTTCACTACTTCTATTCAACATAGTACTGGAAGCCCTAGCCAGAGCAATCAGACAAGAGAAAGAAATGAAGGGCATCCAAATCATTAAAGAAGAAGTCAAACTGTCAGTGTTTGCTGATAATATGATCAAATACCTAGAAAACCCTAAAGACTCATCCAAAAACCTTCCAGAACTGGTAAATGAATTCTGCAAAGTTTCAAGTTACAAAATTAATGTACAAAAATCAGCAGCTTGCGACATACCAACAGCAACCGAGTAGAGAATCAAATCAAGAACCCAACCCCTTTTACAATAGCTACAAAAAATAAAATAAAATACCTAGGAATATACCTAACCAAGGAGGTGAAAGACTTCTACAAGGAAAAACTACAAAACACTGCTGAAAGAAACCATAAACAACACAAACAAATGGAAACATATCCCATGCTCACGAATGGGTAGAATCAATATTGTAAAAATGATTATACTGCCAAATGCAATATAAAAGTTCAATGTAATTCCCATCAAAATACCACCATCATTCTTCACAGAACTAGAGAAAACAGTCCTAAAATTCATATGGAACCTAAAAAGAGCCCACATAGCCAAAGCAAGACTAAGCGAAAAAAACAAATCTAGAGGCATCATATTACCTGACTTCAAACTATACTACAAGGCCATAGTCACCAAAACATCATGGTACTGGTATAAAAATAAGCATATAGACCAATGGAACAAAATAGGGAACTCAGAGATAAAGCCAAATACTTACAGCCAACTGATCTTTGACAAAGCAAACAAAAGCATAAAGTGGGAAAGGACACGCTATTCAACAAATAGTGCTGGGATAATTGGCAAGTCACACGTAGAAGAATGAAACTGGATCCTCATCTCTCACCTTATACAAAAATCAACTCAAGATTAATCAAATGCTTAAATCTAAGACCTGAAACCATAAAAATTTTATAAGATAACATCAGAAAAACCCTTCTAGACTGTGGCTTAGGCAAAGACTTCATGACTGAGAGCCCAAAGCAAGTAGGAGAAAAACAAAGACACATAGATGGGACTTAATTAAACTTAAAAGCTTCTGCACAGCAAAAGAAATAATCAGCAGGGTTAACAGACAGCTCACAGAGTGGGAGAAAATCTTCACAATCTATACAGCAGACAAAGAACTAATATCCAGAATCTACAAATAACTCAATCAGATCACAAGAAAAAAACAAACAATCCCATAAAAAAGTGGGCTAAGGATATGAATAGTCAATTCTCAGAAGAAGATATGCAAATGGCCAATAAGCATATGGAAAATTGCTCAACATCACTAATATCAGGGAAATGCAAATCAAAACCACAATATGATACCAGCTTACTCCTGCAAGAATGGCCATAATCAAAAAAATTAAAAAAAAAGATGTTGTAAAAAGGGAACACATATACATTGTCAGTAGGAATGTAAACTAGTACAACCACTAAGGAAAACTGTGTGGAGATTCCTTAAAGAACTGAGAGTTATGTACCATTTGATCCACCAATCCCATTACTAGGTGTCTACCCAGAGGAAAAGAAGTCATTATAAGAAAAAGATACTTACACATGCATGTTTATAGCAGCACAATTGGCAATTGCAAAAATGTAGGATGAGCCCAAATGCCCATCAATCTATGAGTGAATAAAGAAAATGTGATATAGATATAGATATAGATATATATACACCATGAAATACTACTCAGCCATAAAATGGAACAAAATAGTGGCATTTGCAGCAAACTGGGTGGAATTTGAGGCTATTATTCTAAGTGAAGTGACCCAGGAATGGAAAACCAAACATCATATATTCTCACTCATAAGTGGGAGCTAAGCTATAAGGATGCAAAGGCATAAGAATGATATATCGCACTTTGGGGACTTAGGGGAAAGGGTGTGGGGGGGTGTGAGAGAAAAAAGACTACACAATGGGTACAGTGTATACTGCTTGGGTGATGGGGGCACCAAAATCTCAGAAATTAAAAAAAAAGTAAATAAATAACTAAAATAGATTCAAAGCATTACTCCATTTACTATAAAATTAATCAAATTTGGGGTGTTAAATTTAATATAGGTAGATGAAATAACTTTTGTGTTACATGTCCTTTTTTATTTGTTTTCCATAAAATTTAAGAACTTCTCATTTTCCCTAATATTTCCTGTTTCAAAGAACAGAGTTAAGATAGCTTCTGAGGTTAGTAAGAAAATTCAGAATTTAGATTTCAGAAGAAGTGAGGTGAGAAGATGGCGATAGACTACCCAGTCCTGTAGTTGGACAGAAGCCTCAAGGAACACATGAATGGTGCTTAGAAATATTGAGGAACACACAGAAGTGAACTCAGAGCCTTTCTGTGTAGTCACTGAGGAATAACAGAGTCTGGGAGATGTGCCAGGGGTGAAATGGGCAAATGTCCCAGAAATTCTAGAAACTATAGATCAGTGAGCTTAACCTCCATCTCCAGTAGAATTCTGGAATGTATTACTAAATAAATGGTTTTACGAGCATTTTAGAAAAAAAAAAGGTGGTGGGGAGAGAGAATGGAATTGATTCCCCTCAAGGACCAGAGTAGAATGCAGTAATTCCTTCTTACTCTCATCTGCCAGTTCTCTTCCATGTGTAGTTTTGTTTACCAGGATTCAATCATCAAGTCTCTCTCTACTGGTTGTACATGTCCTCATTAGGCTATCACATATACATTCATGGTTTTATCTACCACTATTCATGGGTAGCCAAAAAGACAAGTCAGTAAAATCCCAGAAGTACAAGAGATAATGAAATATTTTAATACAATCATGCAGGAAGCATTATAGTGTGCAAATATAAGACCAGTGGGGGTAATCATTTCTAATTTGGACACAAGTGGGAAGTTAATCTGCCCATGAAAAAGGGAGGGAATACTTTCTCAATTCTCTACTTAATATTCTTTAGCTCTTCTGTCTTTCCATCTCCCCTTGGGAGTGAATACAGAGCACACATTCAAGGGTAAAATGAAGAGAAAGTAGTAAGGTTGCAGGAGAAGGAAGACAGACCAGTCATATGGGAAAAGGAGCAATTCTAGGATTAAGTAATAACTGAGAGCACATGTTTAGTGCAAAGCTTTTGAAATAAAGAATCTGAATGCCACACTAATTCCCTGTTTTAAAATTGAAATTTGAGCAATTGCAGATGAATTTATGGACAGTACTTTCTGGCATAGGACAAAAACAGTATGGAATATAGAATACGACCAGTAGAAGCTGAGGAAAAGAAATAATTATCGTCACCACATCTGATTGAAGACTTTCACATTTCACAATAAAAAAAATCTGCATTTGTAAATGATTGCGCCCCACTGATTATTTTGCAGAAATGTTCCATGATTGGGTTGAACGAAATTGAATTTATTTCTTATTTCCTAGTGTAGGATCAGTTATCTTCAGGCATTCTTGTATTATCTTCCTAAAACCCCGAGGAAAGGTCCCTGTAGGTGTTGTTCTAAGTAGAGACATCTAGATAAGGTAGACCCCCCTCCTGATAACTGCAGTTAGGATCCTGCCACCAAGAGTGCATAAGCCAGGTTAACAGTACGATTTCCAGAATGCTACCTTCCAAAACTCATTCTGCTTCGCTTTGATAACTGTTATATCCATTCATAGATGTACCTCTTTCCCATCCTGAATTCCTGACTGCATTTATATCAGTCTACTACAAATTTCTCTCACAATGTCACAATGAACAGGATTGAAGGCCTTGTCTTCCCTAGCACCATTCTTTAACTTAGTCAGTGGTACCATCATCTCCACCCATCCCGTCTAATCAACCTGGATGCCTCAGTTGCCCAGCTTTCTTCTCTTATACCTCCTCCCTGCCATTTCCATCAGCCCCCAAGTCCTGTTAATACCACTTCCAAAATCCTCATGAATCAGTCAGTTCCATTATCTCCTTTCCCCCTGCCACTGTCCTAGTTCAGTCTCTTATCCATTCTTGTCTGCAGTTATCTTTTTTTTTTTTTTTTTGAGACAGAGTTTCGCTCTGTTGCCCAGCTGGAGTGCAGTGGTGCCATCTCGGCTCACTGCAAGCTCTGCCTCCCGGGTTCATGCCATTCTCCTGCCTCAGCCTCCCGAGTAGCTGGGACTACAGGCACCTGCCACCATGCCCAGCTAATTTTTTGTATTTTTAGTAGAGATGGGGTTTCACCGTGTTAGCCAGGATGGTCTCGATCTCCTGACCTTGTGATCCGCCCACCTCGGCCTCCCAAAGTTCTGGGATTACAGGCATGAGCCACCGCGCCCAGCCTGCAGTTATCTTTTTAAAACAAAAATCTAATTATTTCACAGCCATATTTTAGAAACCCCGTAGTTCTACTTTGCCTACTGGATGAAGCTCAGCTCTTATCCTGGAAGGAAAGTGAGATGAACAAAAGCAGTGACGAAGAGAAGGAAGTGGCATGGTTCAGAGGAGTGGTGGTCAGGAGGCTTGCCTGGACTGAAGAAGGCAGGAAATGCTCAGCCATGAGAGCCAAAATTGGCTACTCACAGAACTGATCTTCTTAGGGAGTCAACCTCACTGCTAGCTATAAACGTTGTAAAATCACCAACATCAATAATTCAAAAATAGTCAAGGCAATATAGAATGCCTTTGCTTAGCTTTCTTTGTTATCTCCTTCTGGTAATAATAATAATAATAATAATAATAATAATAATGTTTTTCTCAAGGGAAGAAGAGAATATACAGTTACCTAATGTCTACCAATCACTGTGCTGAGGCACATTAAAAAGAATTATCATAGTTAATTCCAAAGCAGTCCAACAATGCTGTTATTATTATCCCCAAGTTAATGATATGGAATCTAAGGTAACTCAGAGTTTAACCAATCAGTGACAAGGTCTTAGGCCAAATCTCTCTGTCTTCAAAACCTGTTTTCAGGAACATTGAAGTGAAGCCCAAGTACAGAGGAAACAGTAGAACCTCTGTGATTTAGTCAAGTCCTGGCCAAAGTGCCTTTCTCAATGCCTATTTTACAGTTTAACCTCTGAATATGAAATAAAGAAATGGAACAAATCATTGTCTTTGTTCATTCCTACTGCTATAACAAAATATCTTAGGCTGGGTAATTTATAAACATTAGAAATTTATTTCTCATAGATGTGGAAGCTGGAAAGTCCAGGATCATGGTGCCAGCAGATTCAGTGTCTGCTTCCAAGATGGCATCTTCTTGCTGTGTGCTCATATGGGGCAGAAAAGATGGAAGGACCAGGCAGTTCTCTGAAGTTTCTCTTATAAGGGCATGAATCTCATTCATGAAGGTGGAGCCCTCAGGACTTAATCACTTTCCAAAAGACTCCGTGTCTTAATATCATCACCGTGGGGTTTAAGTTCCAAAATAACTTTGAGAGGACCACATACACTCAAACCATAGCAACCATTTACAAACATTATCTCTTCTTCTATTTCCTAATGATGTTATTGAGGTAAGCTACATTGTTCAGTCATATGATGAGGGAAGAGAGGAAAGGATGGGGCTCAAGATGAGTAAGGATGGATATGAGTTAAACTCTGTGCTTTGTAAGCTTTCCTCCATGAGACATTTGATGTTACTTTATGTGGGAAATGTGGCAAGAGGGTTTGCCTTAGAGTGGGCATGTCTGAGGCAAAATATAAAACAAAACAAAATAAAACAGATCATTTGAATAGGAAACCAGAAAGCTGAATTGAGTCCATTTCTCAAAGACGACATTCCTGCCTATCACTGGTAATGTGCACGTTCTTAAGTAACTCACATGTTTCTCCCTCAGTCCTTCCGTATAATTTCTACCATATCTACTTCCAGAGCCTCTGTATTTTAACCTTCCTTTCAGAAAATCACTGGTAACCAGAAGCCAGCCACTCTGGCTATAATTAAATATCCAAACTGATTGTATTTGAACTGTCTCATTTGGGACCATGTTTAGGAAATTATCATAAAGTTGGTCTATTCTCTTAAACCATCAACTTCTCAGAAGCTAAGTCATCATTTTTCTCTAGTATATATGTAAGCTCTGTTTCCATGGTGGTGGGTGGGTTATATGGAAAACATCATCCAAAGCAGACATACAATTTCCCCCAAAGTAGAATATTTATTCTACAAATCTTGCAATCTGTTTTCATAAGAGATGATACAAGGACTAAAGTGCCACTTCATTGATACTTACTTCATTATTTTACCAGAGGATGAGATCAACTTAATAGAAGATAATTACATTATTGGCTTTGGGGCTTCAAAGAAAGAAAGAAATCAGTTTTACATTTGCTCCTTCTTAATTCCCTAACTCTTCTTGGGACTTTTGAAAAGATAATTGCCTGTAATTCAGAAAAGTTCATGAACTAATTTACTTAAGACCCTAGAAACACACATAAGATCCAAGGAAGAACTAAGAACACCATTTTTCATCTTTTCCCTAACAAGATTATGGAAGACAGGATGATTCTAAAGATGCTGTGCTAAAATAATATGACAAATTTTTTTCAGTTTGTGGATGTCTGTACAAAGCATAAATAAAGTAATATATTTCATAGTATTATTACTAGGCAACATGTGTTTTAGCATTTTTATTGTAAAAGTAATATATGTTCGTGATTTTTTAAAAGGCAAAAGTGTTTACGGTAAACAGCAAAATCCCCTTCCCTGACCCACCTCTGAATGTATACTAAAGTTTTTCTCTAAAACGAACTACTATAAAAGCATGTATCCACATATAAACACATATATATCCTGGATTTTGGTACACAAATAGGGTTTTATTTACATTCTCTTGTTTAAATGTTGTCTACTTCACATATCTCTTGGATATATTTCTTGCTAAAATATACATCCATAACATTATTCATAATGGATATAGGTATCATGGATATAAAGCATATGGCCCAGCTAATAAATCTTAAACATACATATTATACCTGACTCAGCAATTCTGCTAGTAGGGTTGCTATGCTCTTTTATGGCTATATAATAATTTATGTCACTAGTATCCTATTAATGGATATTTAGGTTAAAATGTTTTGCTCTTATGATCAATATTGCACTTAGTGTTGTTGAACCTGTATGTTTCCATATATCAGGAGCCTACTATAAAATAAATTCCTACTAGTAAAACTGCTGAACCAGAGGATATATGTATTTTTTAAATATGCTAGTTAGACCGTGTGCATTATGTCCATGAATATGAATGATTAATTTCTAGATGAAATTCATAGCAAAACATAAATTCAATTCTATTTGAAATGGGACAGATGTTATAATTAATGATTGGCTTCTAAAATCTGAGGGATCTCAAAATAAATTCTTTATTTTACTCTAAAACAAAAGAGTTTACAGTTCCTTGTTTGAACATTGCACAGAAAGATTGCCATGCACTGAATTTATTTAAGAGACATATTTTGAATGGTGCTCCATGTTTACATATTTCAAAAACTCCAGAAACTAAATCCTGTCTGTGAAACAGTGTAGAAAAGAAATACTTCACAAGAGTTAATTATTTGGGCCACAAAATATAAAATAAAATCTCTCATTTCCAGTGGATGAAAATTGGCGCTTCTAAATCAGAGTGCTAGTAATGTTCAACAATTTGAGCACAACACATGATTGGCTGTGAAACAGTGTACAGAAACATGTAGCTCCACCTGTTCAGATATTCAAAAGTCATTTCATGGTTATTATAAGATAAATTTATTTGGACATGCCTAGTCATGCATGCATTAGACATGTGTCTCAGCCAAAATAAATTGCATTTCATTATAAAATGGAAAACCAAAGCTCACAATAGGTCCATTTTTCTTATTTTGTTCTTTTTCAAATCAATTATTTTACTTCCTCCATTCTCTGTTTTATTTATTTGTCTTTGTCTTTCTCTATCTCTGTCTCTTTTAATGTAAGAATATCTTTAAGAAAAGTTTCTAACTATACGTTTCTAATTATACATTTAAAGACAGCATGTATGTGCATACATTCGCACACACATTTTATATATATACACACACACACACACACATGCTCTTTAAATGTTAATAATTAATCACATAACCCTCCTTTTGGTGGCTTTGGTCTCACTGTCAGAATTGCTAAGTAGGAAGGTACAGGCAGCCAGTGATGGCTCCCTTGTCAATCTCAGTGAGCCTGAGCAGTCGCTGGAGCTTGCAGTATCAGTTGCTAGGCAACCTGTTCATCTGCTGTGCCTGATATTTCAATTCGGCAGCAGTAAAGGTCTGTTATGTTATGGCCTTTCAGAACTACCTTCATTACATAATATCTACCATTATAATAAAGGAGCTTTAAATGTTTAGGGGTGTGAGAGTAGCAAGGAAAATCAGTGCAGCTGTGCCACTCAGATAATGTCAAGGTAGACTTTCTGCATATAAAAAAGTATAAAATTATGACATATTTAACACTCAGTCCTTCCTGGCAGAGAACTAAAAAAGCATCCTACCAGACTATTTACTTGATGATATCAAATCAGGTCTTGTTACCATTCTAGAAAAGTTTCTAACTGCTGCTATAATGAAGGTAAAACAGCAATGGCCTACAGAAATAAGAAGAATATTAATGTTCTGGATATAATAAATGAGGCTAGCGTGTCTAGCCAAGTATTTGTTTAAAGGGCACTTCTTGAGAACAGACTTTTTTTAAGTCTGAAAAGCAGCAGCTATGTAAGTATTCCAGGTTGCCAATCTTGCTAAATCATTTTCCTAAATAAATGTCTGGGATTCTATGACATTCATTGGAAATGATTTCAAATAGTCTACTCTTTACCCTTGAGTTTATTTTAGAAGAAGCAAATAATCGTTGTAACAAGATGGCTTGAATCACAGGTTTGCTAATTTATCCACTCTTGTCCAAGTTTTCTGTATTTATAAAAATAGAACTTGTCTTTGTATTCGGGCTACAATAACAAAAATATTATGAACTGAGTGGCTTATAAAGAACAGAAATTTATTCATTACAGTTCTAGAATCTGGAAAGTCCAAGATCAAGATACCAGCAGATTTGATGTCTGGGGAGGGCCAATCTGTTTCATACATGGTGCCTTCTATGCATCGTCATTTGGTGGAAGGGGTGAACCAACGACCTCAGGTCTCTTTTACAAGAACACTTATCCAATTCATGAGGGCTCTGCTCTCATGACTTAATCAACTCCCAAAGCCTCCACCTTCAAATACCACCACCTTTGAGATTAGGCTTCAACATATGCATGTAGGGTAGGGGGAACACAAACATTCAGACCATAGCGCAAGTGTACCAATTAGAATATAGTTTTAGATCAGTAACCAAAATAATCCTAAAGATACAGTGTCTTAAACAATATAGAATCTTATTTTTCTCCCACATAATAGTTTCAAAAGTTCAGGCTTAATATAGTCCCTTCTGTTTTTCACATTGCCATCTTCAACTTGCAGTTTCTATCTTGTGGTCTAAGATGACCATTGAACCTGGATTCTTGCCTAAGCAAAGTGCATCTACACTCCAAACCTTTGAGAGAACGGCTAGTAGTTGTACTTATTACTTCTACTCACATTCCATTGAACAGAACTTGGTCACGCTTAACTGCAAGGAGACTGGGGAATGACATTGTCTATTGGGGGGGCATTTTCTGTCTGGCTAAAACTCTGGGTAGCTATTACAAAAGGAAAAGTAGAAAAGTAGATTGGAGGACAACCAGCTGTCTGCAATGAGAGGAAGCAAGAGCAATGCTACTACATAATACTTAGTAGTGTTGTGTAGAAGAAGTAATACAATTGTCTTAAACTGTACAAATAAAATTCCTTTGAGAAATTATAACACCCCAAGAATAGAATGGGACACAGAGGATAACAAAAAGCATTGAGTTCAATCCTCTACGTCACTTCTTTCAGAAAGGGTCCAGGACCCTGAATGGGCTTGGAGACCAAAAACAATTTGTGAATAATAGATATGCTTATTCTCTTGATTATGGTGATGGTCTCACTTGTGTATGCATATGTCAAATTTTCACCAATTTTACATTTTTAAAGATGTGCAATTTATTGTATGCCACTGATACCACAATGAGCTTTTTTGTTTTTTAAGGAAAAAAGAGCATGGAATGTGACACCAGCATTTGAATAAATGCCATGTCTTTCCCTAGAGAAATAGCTGCCAAGAGGGTTAAAATCAAAGAATTCAAGGTGATGTTCTCATCAATACAGTTCTCTAGTGAAGCAGAAAAACAAAAAAAGTGACCTTTTCTAGGACAACAGTACAAAACATATGGGAGAAACCAGCAGGAGGATTTTAGCTGGAAATGGATTACTGGGAACACTAGATTTGTTTAATAATGTTTTGTTCATGATCTTTCCTGAGTATCAACATGAGAACCTGCCACATTCAGACCAGAGTCAAGGTAATTGTGATAAAGTATAGGAAGAGCAGTCCTTCCGGGGGCTGGGCGGGGGGCCGAGGGCAGGGGGAACATGAGAATATGCTTTCTTTTCAAACAGGAGCCAGAATCTCCAGGCAGCAGACAATTGGCAAACAGAAGAGGGAAGCAAATAGGCTTTATTTTCCTATGAAGATAAATATTGGAAGAAGGAAAAGCAGGGAGACGAAAACCTTCCTGTCTACAGTGACTCTCATTGAGAAGATCTGTTTGTAAAGGGTTGCAAACTTACTGACTCCTTTGCCTGTTGCCTACACTTTTGTTAATCCCAGTCATTCTTATAAATCCTCATCTTTACAGATTTTGTGTTTATTCATTCATTCGAACATTTTTTAAAGTACCTACTTTCTATGTGTCATAAACTTTCCTAAGTGGACAAAAAATAAATAAATTCAACTCCAAAGGAGCTCCTAGTATGGAAAAAAGAGACAGGTAGAAATCAAATCTCTCCAGTTCAGTTTACCCATTTATATCTGAATTTTTACTATGCCATTATACAGATATATGTGTTACATATTTTAAGCAAGCACAGAAAAGGCAAGTGGTAAAATAGTGGCCAAAGACTTCTTTCTGTCCTAGAACACAGGATTCCTTTCTTTTTCACATCATCTGGAGTTATTTTTCACCTGTATTTTGGAATACCAAATTGGGTGGGCTTGCCTCTACAGATCGTTGGCATTCCCTCTTTTCATGATATGGTAATATAAATAGAAGAAGACAGATTGAAGAGTAGTGAGGCATGCATACATTTCAAAAGTAAACTAAAATAAAAGCTAAAACCTTTCTCTTAGAGCCAGGGGCATAATGAGATTTTATGTTGTAGAATTGTCCATAAACTAAAAAGAAAAATAAAGATTTTAATCTTACACTTCACATCATTGTTTTCCATGTTGCTTTATCTTTCATCTTATATCAATAAACAGATCTGAAATGTAATTACTCTATTAGGAGGCTTGTCTTTAAGAGCACTGCATCTTTCCAAATATAAACCTATCTTTTTTTCAGAGGGGCTAACAAAGTTGTCCTCAGGGGAGGGGATGAGCTCAGCGTTGATATTCTTTGCTTCTTAGTCATGTGTCACATTTGGATCCATTACATTTGGATGAAAGATGAACGTGTGGGCTTGTGAAATGGAGTAGAGGCAAGCTGAATGCAAGGAGAGCATCTAAATGTCAACGGTGACAACTGTCTAGGTGAAAATAGTCTTATGTCATCCTAGTCAATCCATATTAAGCCCAAGATTTTACAATGTTAATTAGCTAAATTAATTTATGTAAAAAAGGTGATTCACGGTTTAATTTTGTATATCTTCTTACCCTTGGTACACTTTCTATGTTATCAAAAATTTTCTAAACTCTTTATAACCCATCATCTACTTGGTGCTTTGTAATGACCTTATCAGTTCTTGATTGGACATTTTATGTTCATTTTAATACTTCTATTGAACCAACAGTATGTATTAAAATAGTTTCGCTTAACACAGCACATTCATAGTAGGCTGGAAGACACTCTCACACCCCAAAAGCACTTTTCTAATGAAGTAAAGCAACTGAATTATAGATTAAAGTAGTCACTATGCCTCTGCAAACAGGAAAATCTGACGTTCATAGGTGCTACCTTCTGTCCATCACTCACATAACAGAAAACGCAACTGGAGTGCTCCCAATTTTCTCTAAACTATCAATGCTGCCATGAGAAATTCAAGCATCCAAGGAGCGAACACAGCTTTCAAAGGCAAAAACAACCCCTCGCACCATCTATCAAAACCTCACCTTCACTGCCTAAATAAAATTTTCAAGAAAATTAACTATAAAGGGAAACTAATAACACAAAACTCCAGTGCAGCATGGATACTGCGATTTATAATTTTTCTTAAAATGATAATGATTATCTTAATTTGTAATAAGAGCTAAATCCTCCCTCTCCCCTTGATCTGTGGTCGTTATCCCAAAACACAGCTGTGGATTTATAAAAGAAAAAATGATGCCTACGGTTACTATTTTGCAAGTTCTATATTCTTGAATGTGTGTAAAACACATGTGAAGTCTTTCTCCACAAAGCTGCAGGTTTTCAAGTGTTTTAGAACCTATATTAAAATGTTACTGTGGAACAGACCAGAGGCAAACATTGAGGGTGGATATCTTTGCATCTCAATCCAGGCTTTCTTGGGAACTAATTTCAGCTATGGTGATTATTAACAGTCAAAGTTTTATTTGCATTTTAATAGGAGATTCTTGAAGAAAATCCTTCGATTCAAAAGAATGAAACTAAAATGATAGATTAGGATTGATGTTTTAGGGACATTTACTAGATATACCTCAATTAAATCACAGAGATGCTTGTTTAATCTCTAACGCGTGGAAGAAAATGTGTTAACTGAAATTGTATATGCCTATAGGAAAATAGTTTGTCCAAATAATTCCCAAGATTATAGATTGTATTTTTTCAAGATCTGTGTTCAGTGTTGCTAGAATCCTGCATGTTATCAACCCACCTAAATTATTTTAAAGAGTGGCTTATTCAGAGATAACCATTGTGTCATGAGCTATGCAAGGTATTGGGACTTCCACAAGTCCCAGAAAAAGACAGATATGCTCTTTCAGGCCATTCTAGGAAATAGGCAAAGAGCACAGATTTCTTAGGGAAAAATGGCCAGGGGAAAAAGGCCAGAAGAAAAGCCTAATCAAGCAGGCCATAAGGAAATGTAGCTTGACTTATCAAATAGAATAAAGTTGGTAATTACTGAGTGGTTGCCCCAGCTAAGGCAAGTTTATTCCTAAATTTTTGTCAACCTATTCCTGTCGCCAAACTTTTACAAATATATGGATGAATTTTAAATCACATAACAGATGTTTCTTAAAATATACAGAATGTGTCTTATTCAATGGCAGTACTATTGGAGCTCAACCAAGGTTAAATAATAAACAACACATTCGGAGCCGTTAATCTACTGAACCAACACTTGTCAAGCAAAACGATTGTATTTTATTATCTGGGCTGCTAAAAGTGTCATTTGTGAAGATTATAAAATTATATGATGAAGTTTAGAAACTGAAAGTCCTTTATAAGTCCTATTACCTTGCCCCACGCATGCAGGCTGGAAGCCTAGGGAATTTTGCAGTGTTGCTCAATTATCCAGCAGGGGTGCTGTAGGGAGTTCTCACACAATTTGCTCTTAATTTACAGGCCTCCAAGGACAAGAAATTCAAATATGTCCTTTAACATTCTTTGAAGCTGATGAAGCAGGAAAGATTGGTCACTTTTTGGAGAGAATATCTCCTTCCTTATAAAACTGGGGACAACGAGGCTGTCAAAATATCAAGGTTCCCTGCTGAACAGTTTTTGTCTAGTCGTAGGAACTGGGGAAGTTAAAATCAGTCCCTAGTATCCCCAGAGACTACTAGCTTTTTCTGAAGCTCAAGAGTCTTGCTAGGTGGCACACAATGGTTGTTTAAAGGCAGCCTACCCAGCAAAGTGGCTGCAGGTCAACAGAGTGAGCAAACAGACATACAGGATCTAGAGACAGGGCTGCCTTTATGGTTGTTGTCCTAACATAATTACTGCTAGTGACTTCTTTGAATTTCTAAGGTTTTCTAGTTTGGAAAATAAGTCATACAGTATCCCTATAACTAGAAGGAAGAAGGCTATTGGCCTCACCCCATTCAAGGCCATTGGCCTCGAAACATCTGCAAAACAGGTATTTAGGAGCAAGAGCATACTCAACGGATCTTTCTTCCACTGCAAAAGGTTGCTGAGTGAAACTTGCTATTGCATGCCCATTGTGGGCAGTGGAACTTTTTCATGCATATAAGGAGTTGGTAGTCATTTTCATAAGTATCATTTGCGAGCATGAGGACAAGCCATATCTTCAATCCCCATATATTGCTGTTCCCTAGAGAAGGAAAGCTCCTTGAGGACAGGGAATTTTGGTGTTTATCACTGTGTCTCTACTGCCTAAAATGGCATTTGGCACAGGACAAATGTTTAATAAATATTTTTTGAATGAATAATTCCAGAAGTCAATGCTGTCCTTCATGACTCTTTAGAGAACATGTTATATATGAATGCATTATTAAGGGAAACTATATTTCATTTACGTGGTTGTTGCTCCCATTGTAACACCCAATTGACCCTGTTGCCATTCTTAACTTCAGGAAATCAAGAATCCTTTCCTCTGATCCTCTTCTCTTTCTCACTGGTAGGTCTTTGTCTAGAAACCATGAAACTTCCAAATAGCTAATTTACTGCAAGAATAACATCATTTTTCATCAGAAAAATAAATTACATATAATTAAATGTGAAGACCATGACGTGTCCCTTTCCTTTCGTTTAATCGTTTGTTTGAACTGACACTACGTCTCTTTTCCCAGATGGGAGAGAAATCTGGTAACAAAATAAAATGTGTTAGTGATGCTCATTCATTTTTATTTACTAAGACTCGGGCTTATTATCTCTGCAAATTGCAAAGCTGTGACCTTAAATACTCGATGTAAATGTGGTTCTTTAGAAAAAAGGGAAATTAAAATATGAACATAATTTATTTAGCTAGATTTTCCTTTTTCTCCAAAAGGAAAAAAAAATGTGTAGTCCAGTTTATATGCTCCTGGAGTGCAATGGCGCAATCTCGGCTCACCACAACCTCTGCCTCCCAGGTTCAAGTGATTCTCCTGCCTCAGCTTCCTGAGTAGCTCGGATTACAGGCATGCGCCACCATGCCTGGATAATTATTATTATTATTATTATTATTATCATTATTATTATTTTACTAGGGATGGGGTTTCTCCATGTTGGTCAGGTTGGCCTTGAACTCCCGACCTCAGGTGATCCACGTGCCTTGACCTCCCGAAGTACTGGGATTACAGGCGTGAGCCACTGCACCCAGCCACTCCTTACTTTTCATTGTGTTTATTCTATGCAATCCCTCTAAGGATGGCAATTCTCAACAAAAGGCATTTTTCATTTATAACATATTTCCAAAGTTAACACATAACTGGAAGATCACAGAAAGATCACGTACAGGTCTTAACTACATGAAAGAATGGAAATTTATCAAAACTACAGCTCATAGCCAGGCCAGAAGGGTCTATCTTTTCCCTTTCCTGTAATCCTACAACCAGAAACACCATGTACCTTCTTTTCTGTGGTCTGGCCCCCAAAGACTGGATGGAGACCAGCAGAAGAATGTGGATACATCTATCAGTTTGGAATATTTAGTTTGCATATGACTGAAACCCAGGTGGAACCAAGAAAATAAGATGAACTAATTAATTCTCATAATTTAAGGAACAATTGAACAGCCAAACTCTAGTCAGGACAGTAATGTGTGAAACCTCAGAAACACTTGAGACCAGGGAATCACAGTGGAGACTTCAGGGCACTGTCTCCATTTCTAACCTTGCTTTTCTACATATTGGCTTCATTCTTCTTTCTTACCAAGATGTTTTCTCTACACAGCAAAAAGCATGACTACTGGAAGCTCTAAGCTTAGGAACAAGAGCAGAGAGAGATGGTGTCTTTATCTTTGTCACCTAAATATGAATCCCAGGGAGTGATTTTGATATATCTGAGTCACATGTTCACCTTTTGAGTGAATCATTGTTGCCAGGGAAATGGGTTACTCTGGTCAGATCCAGGTCTCTTTTACATGTTAATCATACCTCAAGAAAATGTTTCATTTTGTTTTAATGAACTCATTTCTTATTATGGGGTTAGGTGAAGAACAGGCTTTATAAAAGCTGAAATTTCGGATGGAAAAGGGAAAACTTTAAAACAAATTATTTAGTAGATCCCAATCTCAATATGCAGTCAACTGTAAAGAATGAAGAGTATAAGAATGAGATTAAGATTGGAGAAGAATAGAAAGGTATGTGGACATCATCAACAATGTGTCCATGATCTTTTAACAATGTGCCCATGATGGTTGCATGAGGAAAGGATTGCTGAATGCATTATGATCCAGCTAAGATCAGGCCACGTGAATTGATGATGGAACTGGCTGCATCCTGACTCTGAGGGATGATGCTATTGACATTATTATGACACCATGCTGGATAACGGTAATTTATGCATAAGTTTAAGATTAAAAGATAATATTTATTTTCAAATTTGAATATTTGAAATGTTTGATAAGGTCAATTTCTATTACTGTTTCTTCTGAAACTGTGCCTCATGTATTACATTTTAGGAACAAATTCTGTTATACTTTTTTCAACCTAGTATATCACAAACCCTGCTATGCTACTATTTTCATTTTTTAATCTATAAGATTTTCATCTGATTTTGTAGATTTAATGAGATGCAGAGAGTTGTAGAAATGTGCAAATGTGTAAAGTATCCAAATTCCAAATATTATAATATGAATCTCATCCTATCAGCCTATATGATTGGGTCTTGTTTAATGTCTTCAAAAATGAGCTCTGAGTTAGAGAGAAGAAATAGATGAAGATTATGATAACATGATTTGACGTGGATTTATTTAATTGCCATTCAGTCAGACTTCCTATAAAATGCACTTTTATCAAATTGCCACTAAGCATATGTTAACATGCATTAGGCAACATATTAAATCAGGAAGATTTTCTGCTTTGCTAGTGGCTAGAGAAATATATCAGTTTCTTAAATCACATATATATTAAGTTGAGATTTTTTATTTTCCACCCATAAACCGGAATATAGATGTCATGTATTAATTGATACTATTCAAATCTAAAATCTAGTGTTTAATACTAAGAATTCAGCCCAATAAAGACTTTAAAACTTGCTTAAATCCATAAACTGTAAGTTCTTTTTTTTAATTTTCATATTTTTATTTTTTTATTTATTTTATTTATTTTATTTTTATTTTTATTTTAGTATTTATTGATCATTCTTGGGTGTTTCTCAGAGAGGGGGATGTGGCAGGGTCATAGGATAATAGTGGAGAGAAGGTCAGCAGATAAACACGAGAACAAAGGTCTCTGGTTTTCCTAGGCAGAGGTCCCTGCGGCCTTCGGCAGTGTTTGTGTCCCCGGGTACTTGAGATTAGGGAGTGGTGATGACTCTTAACGAGCATGCTGTCTTCAAGCATCTGTTTAACAAAGCACATCTTGCACCGCCCTTAATCCATTTAACCCTGAGTTGACACAGCACATGTTTCAGAGAACAGGGGGTTGGGGGTAAGGTTATAGATTAACAGCATCCCAAGGCAGAAGAATTTTTCTTAGTACAGAACAAAATGGAGTCTCCTATGTCTACTTCTTTCTACACAGACACAGTAACAATCTGATCTCTCTTTCTTTTCCCCACATTTCCCCCTTTTCTTTTCAACAAAACCGCGATCGTCATCATGGCCCGCTCTCGATGGCCGCTGTCTCTTCGGAGCTGTTGGGTACACTTCCCAGATGGGGCAGCCTGGCAGAGGTGCTCCTCACTTCCCAGACGGAGCAGCTGGGCAGAGGCGCTCCTCACTTCCCAGACGGGACGGCTGGGCAGAGGCGCTCCTCACTTCCCAGACGGGGCGGCCGGGCAGAGGCACACCTCACCTCCCAGATGGGGTGGCGGCCGGGCAGAGGCACTCCTCACCTCCCAGATGGGGTGGCGGCCGGGCAGAGGCACTCCCCACCTCCCAGATGGGGTGGCCGGGCAGAGGCGCTCCTCACCTCCCAGATGGGGCGGCCGGGCAGAGATGCCCCTCACCTCGCAGACGGGGTGGCCAGGCAGAGGCACCCACTTCCCAGACGGGGCAGCCGGGCAGAGGTGCTCCCCACCTCCCAGACAAAGGGTGGCCGGGCAGAGGTGCTCCTCACTTCCCAGACGAAGGGCGGCCAGGCAGAGGCGCTCCCCATCTCCCAGATGGGGCGGGCGGGCAGAGATGCCCCTCACCTTGCAGACGGGGTGGCCAGGCAGAGGTGCCCACTTCCCAGACGGGGCAGCTGGGCAGAGGTGCTCCCCACCTCCCAGACAAAGGGTGGCCGGGCAGAGGTGCTCCTCACTTCCCAGACGAAGGGCGGCCAGGCAGAGGCGCTCCCCACCTCCCAGATGGGGCAGGCGGGCAGAGGCGCTCCCCATCTCCCAGATGAAGGGTGGCCAGGCAGAGGCGCTCCTCACTTCCCAGACTAAGGGCAGCTGGGCAGAGATGCCCCTCACCTCCCAGACGGGGCAGCCGGGCAGAGGCGCCCACTTCCCAGATGGGGCGGCCGGGCAGAGGTGCTCCCCACCTCCCAGAGAGGGTGGCGGCTGGGCAGAGGTGCTCCTCACTTCCCAGACGGGGTGGCAGCCGGGCAGAGATGCCCCTCACCTCCCAGATGGGGCAGCCGAGCAGAAGCGCTCCTCACCTCCCAGACGGGGCATCCAGGCAGAGGCGCTCCTCACTTCCCAGACGGGGTGGCCAGGCAGAGGCACTCCTCGCTTCCCAGACGGGGCGGCCGGGCAGAAGTGCTCTTCACATCCCAGACGATGGGAGGTCAGGCAGAGACGCTCCTCACTTCCTAGACGGGGTGGCGGCCGGGCAGAGGTGCTCCTCACTTCCCAGACGGGGCAGCCGGGCAGAGGCGCTCCTCACTTCCCAGATGATGGGTGGCCAGGCAGAGACACTGATCACTTCCTAGACGGGGTGGTGGCTGGGCAGAGGTGCTCCTCACCTCCCAGATGAGGCAGCCGGACAGAGGGGCTCCTCACATCCCAGACGATGGGCGGCCAGGCAGAGATGCTGCTCACTTCCTAGACGGGGTGGCGGGCAGGCAGAGGCTGTAATCTTAGCACTTTGGGAGGCCAAGGCAGGCGGCTGGGAGGTGGAGGTTGAAGCAAGCTGAGATCACGCCACTGCACTCCAGCCTGGGCAACATTGAGCATTGAGTGAGTGAGACTCCGTCTGCAATCCCAGCACCTCGGGAGGCCGAGGCGGGCAGATCACCTGAGGCCAGGAGCTGGAGACCAGCCCAGTCAACACGGTGAAACCCCGTCTCCACCAAAAATACAAAAACCAGTCAAGAGTGGTGGCGCGTGTCTGGAATCCCAGGCACTCGGCAGGCCGAGGCAGGAAAACCACCGGAGCCCAAGGCAGGGAGGTTGCAGCGAGCCGAGGTCATGGCGGTACAGTCCAGGCTCCGCAAGAGAGGGAGACCATGGGAGAGGGAGAGGGAGAGGGAGAGGGAGGGGGAGGGGGAGGGGAAGAGGGGGTCATATTTTTAATAGAGATGGGTTTTCACCATGTTGGCCAGGCTGGTCTCCCATAAATTGTAAGTTCTGAGTCCTATTTTGCTTTTTATATCTCTAAATCTAGTGAGTTAACTTTCCTGGGTAAAAAATGAAGCTTTAAAATCTGAAGAGAATGTCTAGACTTTGAAAGGTAAGGTCTAAATTTCCTCAATAACCTAAAGAGCTTTATTAATTCAAGTTTTGAAAAGTTGAACCTAGCTAACATCAAAGAGTGTTATTTATTTTGTAATTTTCACTGTGACATTTTCTTTTTCTGTCTCATAGTAGAGTTGATCATTAAATAATGTAATAACAACCTAGTTGGTGACCACTACTATGGAGGAAAGAGAAAGTACTTTGGTTTATGAGAAATATATACATAAAACCACAGCTACAATTTAAAATCTGCCTTCATTGGAAATCAGAAAAATCCCAAATAATGATGCAGTGTGACTAATATTTTCTAGAGAAGCCTATAAGACGTCATTTAAACATCATGGATTTCATGAATTTTGCTTTATTTCATATGAATCCCAGGGCACAGCCAATGCAAGGGATAAAGATATCATTCATCATGATCTAGCATCTAAATAAAAATGGTTTTACCCCACTGCCAACACCTATGTTTATTTAAATTTAAAACTGTTGGCCAGGCGCGGTGGCTCACACCTGTAATCCCAGCACTTTGGGAGGCCTGAGGTCAGGAGTTCAAGACCTGCCTGGCCAACATGGCAAAACCCCGTCTCTACTAAGAATACAAAAATTAGCCAGGCATGGTAAAGAGCACCTGTAATCCCAGCTACTCAGTAGGCTGAGGCAGGAGAATCACTTAAACTCGGGAGGCGGAGGTTGCAGTGAGCTGAGATCGGCCACTGCACTCCAGCCTGGGTGACAGAGTGAGACTCTGTCAAATAAATAAATAAATAAATAAATAAAATAAAACTGTTATGACCTTTTCTTGCAGTTCTCTTCCTTTAAATTCTAACTTTTATTGCAGTTTGTTTTAATTTAAGCTAACCAGATTAAATTCACTGGAATCTGAGAGGGGCAATTTTAATTAACTGTTCCAAGGAAAAGAACTATTGCTGTGTGGAGATTTCTGCATGAGTCATTTGGGTCATTGTCTCAGTGCACAGCAGCCAGCGATGTAGGAATAATTGTCCTGCGTTTGGAGCAATGGTTTAAAAAATTACATCAATTGAATAGAATATGGCCTCAAAGGGCACAGATTTGCCAAATAAAAAACAAATCTGGACTTAGGTAAGGAGAGACTATTCGAATGGATTATTGCCAGGGGTAGAAATGAAGAGGCTATTGCAATAGAAAGGATGTTCTATCTGTGTTAGGCATCTCTAATTAGGCAGAAAAGGGCTTTTTTTTTTTTAATAGGAGGAGTAAGCAAGGTTAGAGAGAACCTGGTGTAGGAAGTGGGGTAAATTCAAAGAAGGGGCGGAAGTGGCAGTGACAGGACAGTAGATCAAAGAATGTTTTGCCCTGAACTCAGCCTGTTCTTCGGAAGGACTGTTAAAGAGTGGGTATATGCTGACTCAGACTAAGGGTGAATCAAAGTTCAGGGGTGTGGAGGAAGGAGAAAAGCTTAAGTAAAATTTGATCAAATCATATTAATAGGCGTTTTCCTCCATTTGGTTAGTGAGAAAGACACAGTTAATCTAATCATTTATGAGGCAAAGAACAGAAATTTTGGAGGGTCTTTGACTGGCCTTATAATAGGTAAATAAGAGAGGTGCCCCTTCATCTTATCTAAGTCATTAGATAAGACTGTCTTCATTGGAAATCTAAAAAAAGATCCCAAATAAAGATGTAGAGGAGAAGCATTTCTTTGCAGTGATCCACTTCCTGGAACACAAAGTGTGGAAGGATTTCTTAGCCATTGCTATTTCCAGGATCACAGGGCTTAGGTGAAGTTCACCATTGTCAGTGTGCACATGTCACAATAAGAGTTTTTCCCCCTCTATATTATGTGTAAGGCAACAAAAATTTTATAGAAACTTCTCCTACCACGCAGTAGGCAGAATTCTAAGATGGTCCACAAGATTCCCAGCCCTTGTTGTACACACTCAACATAAATGCCTCCCCCTGAGTGTTAACAGAATGGTGACTATGATGGAATATCATATTCACAACTATGGGCTAAAAGATTTTGCAGATGTATTAAGGTTCATAAGCAGTTGACTTCTCTCCAGCAAAAAGAATCCAGAGGTCTTTCCATCAATTATATTTAACATAAATCTGCATACTAAGCAGATCCCTCTCCATTTGTCTACTCTATGGAGCCCAGATAGCACAATAGAAATACTCATTCAGCATTGTAAGAAACTAAATTGCAAGCAGAGGTTGAAAACGAAATGAATTCCTTGTTTCACCCAGCAATGAAGAACCCTACTCTGAATTGGCACTGGCCCTTTTGTATCATTGAACTGCATTTCTTTTAATGCCAAATAAGATTACATTGTCTCGAGTTTTTTGTTTTTTGTTTTTTTGTTTTTTTTTTTAATGAATGAGATATGTTTTTAACGTTCTTGAGCATGGAATTACCAAACATAGGAAATAATGGGAATTGAGTGTGGCTGGTGGAGTGCAGGTTTTTCAAAACCTTCTTCTCAGGCTGTGCATCTCTGGGCAAATTCTGAACTTCTCAACTCCTCTCGTTTCTCATCTACAAACTAGGAATGACAGTACCGTCTTCCCATGAGATTATAAAGAATAAATGACATATTCTATTTCTATGCATATTTATAATGCTTAACTAGCATCCATAGCTGCCAGTTATTATTATACAAAGAAGTATTATAAAGAAGTGATAAAGAATATTAGTTTTATTTTTCTGATTTTAAATTTTCTCCCTTGATTTGAATGTTACCTTAGTTAAAATTCTTAATGTTTTGTTGTTGTTTTCACTGGTGGTGGTATTGGCTGTTTTAACTGGTTAGTTTTGGATTTTGTTTTGTTTTACTTTTTTGCTTTCATTATTGTTTTTTAATTCCAGTAGAGGCATAAAGAAACAGATTTTAGAGAGTTAAAGGTTAACTTTTAAAATCAATTTACTAATAAAATGCTGTTTTATTCAAGAAAAAAGAGGGCAGCCTTTGTTTAGAGGTAATAATGAAACAACAAATGAATTTGTCAAGTTGCTGAAGAGATGTATTCTGAGGTAAAAAAAATATAGAACAAATCATATATTAGAACAAAACATATTTGAAGGGATTTAAATGCCTTGTCTATTTTATTTTGCTAGGGCAAAATAGACATAATTGCTCTTATAACTGCAATTGGAATGACCTATGAGTACAAAAGTAAAATAATAAAATTAAGAAAAGTTTTTTCCATAAAGACCAAGTAAGAAAAAATTCACCTTTAATTTCTATTTCTTTAGCTAATAATGCTGCTTTTTTTCCTAGGAGTCAGTAGCCTAGAAAAGCCTTTTAAAGTGAATTTGCGGGCTCCAATTTATTTTCATTAGCTTTGATGTTCAATTAAAAATTATCTGTCCATTCAATTTTTCAAATGAACATAGGAGTAATTGTGTTAATGCTAAATTTTAGAAAATTTTTTGGATTCTTTATTTCAGTATTAAATAACAGCTACCACCAGCTGGTAGCTAAAGCTAAAGCCTAGGAAACCCCTCTAATTGAAAACCATCAATACTGACACTCCTTAAATTAATCAGAGAATTGAAAAAAATCCAAAAGAGAGTATTCAGATTAAAAGTGGTTAGCATAATAGAAGTAATTTGGATATCCAGATGTATGGGGGGAAAAACAACACAGGAGCAAAGAAGAAGGAAGGAAAGAAACAACGAACTAATCCTCAGGAATTTTCTTGTTTAAGCCATGCAACTTTTCACCCATCCTAATGGTAAAACCTCTTTCAGGCTATAACCTGGGAAAGTACCTATAACATCACATTCTTTATTTGTACCTAGGATCAACCTACAGTAATGTACATTTGTGATTAGAAAAAGGAAGTTCAAGGTTATTTCATAATTGATGGAATTTTTATTGCCTTTGTTGTCACATATTTTTATGCGCATATTACAATATGTGATATTCCAGCCACAGAAATCAAATCCAGGCAATCCATTCCAGTACTTTCTTCCTACAGATGGGATATGGGTGTAGACAGGCAGAATAATTTACTGGGGATGACAAAACCCTGATGACAACTTACAATGCCCAAGTTTATTGTCTATGCAGGCACCTTTAGTTATTATTATGCAATTTCAGAGTACTTTATAATTGAGTTTCTGATTAAAATTCATGCGGGAATGATTCATCATCCTACTGAACCAGATTTCTATTTTGCTTTTTTCTTTTATTTTTCTCACTATGGTTCTTCAGTTTCCATCTACTGATATTTTATTATATTCCCTATTGCTATAAACTAGTGCTCCTAGTTCATTTCTCAGCTGTTCCACTAATTTGATATTTACTCCTATTCAGATTCCCTAATAAAAATGCTAACTATGATCATATCTAAGAGTGACTGCTGTGGCACCCTACAAGATCCTTCCTACCTCCAACTGGACCTACTCACATTTATCATCAAGCTTTGATTCTTCAGTCAGATTGCAATATTCCCAACTACCCTTCTTTAAGCCTGCTAAACACAAATTGGCAAATAAATCCAATTTGAAGCATACTCTGTCAATTATTCTAGAAAGCCTCAGATGCAGAGCCACCTTCTCATTTACTAATGTAATACTAATGACAAAGAAAAAAGTTGAAGATAAAATAGAATTTAAACTTACCTATTCTCATAATTGCTTATCTTATTGTTTCTATGTAATAAACTTTTCTATAATTACCTCTCCTAATAGTAAAGACTTTGTACATTTACCTATCTTTCATGACGTGCAAATAATAATTCTATGCTTCATGGAATTCTTGCCTTTTGTAATCTCTAAAATTGATTTATAAAGTGTGTTAAAACATGGACCTTATCTCCTGACTCTATTTTGGTATCCTTGAGCATTCTTATTATTTTTACTAAAAGCTATTTTGACAAATCTATTCATACTATAAAGTAATTGTTTAAAACTATTTTTTGCTTATTGACTTAATGAGCACAACCCACTTGCTTTTTAAAAATCCTCATGTTCACCACATAGTCTTCACCTTATTTGTGAGCAGCTTTTTTCTTTCAAATCTTACTTTAGTCATCCAGACTTTATGTTACCACTAAATATTTTTTTTTCAATATAATAGATTTTATTAGGGCTTTTAGTAGAAGCATGCTATTTTCTACCATGCTTATAATTCATATAATAGATATTTCATAGCTTTGTGGAATTTTTCCTTGATCTCATTGGGAATATTAGAAAATTAATCTCATTCACCAGAAATATTACCTGAATAATTCTTTTTTTTTATGGTTAATAGATTTTTTTTAAGTTTTTTTTCTTTTATTATTATACTTTAAGTTTTAGGGTACATGTGCACATTGTGCAGGTTAGTTACATATGTATACATGTGCCATGCTGGTGCGCTGCACCCACTAACTTGTCATCTAGCATTAGGTATATCTCCCAATGCTATCCCTCCCCCCTCCCACCCACCCCACAACAGTCCCCAGAGTGTGATATTCCCCTTCCTGTGTCCTTGTGATCTCATTGTTCAATTCCCAACTATGAGTGAGAATATGCGGTGTTTGGTTTTTTGTTCTTGCGATAGTTTACTGAGAATGATGATTTCCAATTTCATCCATGTCCCTACAAAGGACATGAACTCATCATTTTTTATGGATGCATAGTATTCCATGGTGTATATGTGCCACATTTTCTTAATCCAGTCTATCATTGTTGGACATTTGGGTTGGTTCCAAGTCGTTGTTATTGTGAATAATGCCGCAATAAACATACGTGTGCATGTGTCTTTATAGCAGCATGATTTATAGTCCTTTGGGTATATACCCAGTAATGGGATGGCTGGGTCAAATGGTATTTCTAGTTCTAGATCCCTGAGGAATCGCCACACTGACTTCCACAATGGTTGAACTAGTTTACACTCCCACCAACAGTGTAAAAGTGTTCCTATTTCTCCACATCCTCTCCAGCACCTGTTGTTTCCTGACTTTTTAATGATTGCCATTCTAACTGGTGTGAGATGTTATACCTCATTGTGTTTTTGATTTGCATTTCTCTGATGGCCAGTGATGATGAGCATTTTTTCATGTGTTTTTTGGCTGCATAAATGTCTTCTTTTGAGAAGTGTCTGTTCATGTCCTTCACCCACTTTTTGATGGGGTTGTTTTTTTCTTGTAAATTTGTTTGAGTTCATTGTAGATTCTGGATATTAGCCCTTTGTCAGATGAGTAGGTTGCAAAAATTTTCTCCCATTCTGTAGGTTGCCTGTTCACTCTGATGGTAGTTTCTTTTGCTGTGCAGAAGCTCCTGAGTTTAATTAGATCCCATTTGTCAATTTTGGCTTTTGTTGCCATTGCTTTTGGTGTTTTAGACCTGAAGTCCTTGCCCATGCCTATGTCCTGAATGGTAATGCCTAGGTTTTCTTCTAGGGTTTTTATGGTTTTAGGTCTAACGTTTAAGTCTTTAATTCATCTTGAATTGATTTTTGTATAAGGTGTAAGGAAGGGATCCAGTTTCAGCTTTCTACATATGGCTAGCCAATATTCCCAGCACCATTTATTAAATAGGGAATCCTTTCCCCATTGCTTGTTTTTGTCAGGTTTGTCAAAGATCAGATAGTTATAGATATGCGGCATTATTTCTGAGGGCTCTGTTCTGTTCCATTGATCTATATCTCTGTTTTGGTACCAGTACCATGCTTTTTTGGTTACTGTAGACTTGTAGTATAGTTTGAAGTCAGGTAGTGTGATGCCTCCAGCTTTGTTCTTTTGGCTTAGGATTGACTTGGCGATGCGGGCTCTTTTTTGGTTCCATATGAACTTTAAAGTAGTTTTTTCCAATTCTGTGAAGAAAGGCATTGGTAGCTTGATGGGGATGGCATTGAATCTATAAATTACCTTGGGCAGTATGGCCATTTTCACCATATTGATTCTTCCTACCCATGAGCATGGAATGTTCTTCCATTTGTTTGTGTCCTCTTTTATTTCATTGAGCTGTGTTTGTAGTTCTCCTTGAAGAGGTCCTTCACATCCCTTCTAAGTTGGATTCCTAGGTATTTTATTCTCTTTGAAGCAATTGTGAATGGGAGTTCACTCTGATTTGGCTCTCTGTTTGTCTGTTATTGGTGTATAAGAATGCTTGTGATTTTTGTACATTGATTTTGTATCCTGAGACTTTGCTGAAGTTGCTTATCAGCTTAAGGAGATTTTGGGCTGAGACAATGGGGTTTTCTGGATATACAAACATGTCATCTGCAAACAGGGACAATTTGACTTCCTCTTTTCCTAATTGAATACCCTTTATTTCCTTCTCCTGCCTGATTGCCCTGGCCAGAACTTCCAACACTATGTTGAATAGGAGCAGTGAGAGAGGGCATCCCTGTCTTGTGCCAGTTTTCAAAGGGAATGCTTCCAGTTTTTGCCCATTCAGTATGATATTGGCTGTGGGTTTGTCATAGATAGCTCTTATTATTTTGAAATAGGTCCCATCAATACCTAATTTATTGAGAGTTTTTAGCATGAAGGGTTGTTGAATTTTGTCAAAGGCCTTTTCTGCATCTATTGAGATAATCATGTTTTTTGTCTTTGGCTCTGTTTATATGCTGGATTACATTTATTGATTTGCGTATATTGAACCAGCCTTGCATCCCAGGGATGAAGCCCACTTGATCATGGTGGGTAAGCTTTCTGATGTGCTGCTGGATTCGTTTTACCAGTATTTTATTGAGGATTTTTGCATCAATGTTCATCAAGGATATTGGTCTAAAATTCTCTTTTTTGGTTGTGTCTCTGCCAGGCTTTGGTATCAGAATGATGCTGGCCTCATAAAATGAGTTAGGGAGGATTCCCTCTTTTTCTATTGATTGGAATAGTTTCAGAAGGAATGGTACCAATTCCTCCTTGTGCCTCTGTTAGAATTCGACTGTGAATCCATCTGGTCCTGGACTCTTTTTGGTTGGTAAGCTATTGATTATTGCCACAATTTCAGATCCTGTTATTGGTCTATTCAGAGATTCAACTTCTTCCTGGTTTAGTCTTGGGAGAGTGTATGTGTCGAGGAATGTATCCATTTCTTCTAGATTTTCTAGTTTATTTGCGTAGAGGTGTTTGTAGTATTCTCTGATGGTAGTTTGTATTTCTGTGGGATCGGTGGTGATATCCACTTTATCATTTTTTATTACGTCTATTTGATTCTTCTCTCTTTTTTTCTTTTTTGGTCTTGCTAGCAATCTATCTATTTTGTTGATCCTTTCAAAAAGTCAGTTCCTGGATTCATTAATTTTTTGAAGGGTTTTTTGTGTCTCTATTTCCTTCAGTTCTGCTCTGATCTTAGTTATTTCTTGCCTTCTGCTAGCTTTTGAATGTGTTTGCTCTTGCTTTTCTAGTTCTTTTAATTGTGATTTTAAGGTGTCAATTTTGGATCTTTCCTGCTTTCTCTTGTGGGCATTTTAGTGCTATAAATTTCCCTCTACACACTGCTTTGAATGCATCCCAGAGATTCTGGTGTGTTGTGTCTTTGTTCTCATTGGTTTCAAAGAACATCTTTATTTCTGCCTTCATTTCATTATTTATCCAGTAGTCATTCAGGAGCAGGTTGTTCAGTTCCCATGTAGTTGAGCAGTTTTGAGTGAGATTCTTAATCCTGAGTTCTAGTTTGATTGCACTGTGGTCTGAGAGATAGTTTGTTATAATTTCTGTTCTTTTACTTTTGCTGAGGAGAGCTTTACTTCCAACTATGTGGTCAATTTTGGAATAGGTGCAGTGTGGTGCTGAAAAAAATGTATATTCTGTTGATTTTGGGTGGAGAGTTCTGTAGATGTCTATTAGGTCTGCTTGGTGCAGAGCTGAGTTCAATTCCTGCGTATTGTTGTTGACTTTCTGTCTCGTTGATCTGTCTAATGTTGACAGTGGGATGTTAAAGTCTCCCATTATTAATGTGTGGGAGTCTAAGTCTCTTTGTAGGTCACTCAGGACTTGCTTTATGAATCTGGGTGTTCCTGTGTTGTGTGCATATATATTTAGGATAGTTAGCTCTTCTTGTTGAATTGATCCCTCTACCATTATGTAATGGCCTACTTTGTCTCTTTTGATCTTTGTTGGTTTAAAGTCTGTTTTATCCGAGACTAGGATTGCAACCCCTGCCTTTTTTTGTTTTCCATTTGCTTGGTAGATTTTCCTCCATCCTTTTATTTTGAGCCTATGTGTGTCTCTGCATGTGAGATGGGTTTCCTGAATACAGCACACTGATGGGTCTTGACTCTTTATCCAATTTGCCAGTCTGTGTCTTTTAATTGGAGCATTTAGTCCATTTACATTTAAAGTTAATATTGTTATGTGTGAATTTGATCCTGTCATTATGATGTTAGCTGGTTATTTTGCTCATTAGTTGATGAAGTTTCTTCCTAGTCTCGATGGTCTATACATTTTGGCATGATTTTGCAGCAGCTGGTACTGTTTGTTCCTTTCCATGTTTAGCGCTTCCTTCAGGAGCTCTTTTAGGGCAGGCCTGGTGGTGACAAAATCTCTCAGCATTTGCTTGTCTATAAAGTATTTAATTTCTCCTTCACTTATGAAGCTTAGTTTGGCTGGATATGAAATTCTGGGTTGAAAATTCTTTTCTTTAAGAATGTTGAATATTGGCCCCCACTCTCTTCTGGCTTGTAGGGTTTCTGCCAAGAGATCTGCTGTTAGTCTGATGGGCTTCCCTTTGAGGGTAACCCAACCTTTCTCTCTGGCTGCCCTTAACATTTTTTCCTTCATTTCAACTTTGGTGAATCTGACAATTATGTGTCTTGGAGTTGCTCTTCTGGAGGAGTATCTTTGTGGCGTTCTCTGTATTTCCTGAATCTGAACGTTGGCCTTCCTTGCTAGATTGGGGAAGTTCTCCTGGATAATATCCTGCAGAGTGTTTTCCAACTTGGTTCCATTCTCCCCGTCACTTTCAGGTACACCAATCAGACGTAGATTTGGTCTTTTCACATAGTCCCATATTTCTTGGAGGCTCTGCTCATTTCTTTTTGTTCTTTTTTTTCTAAACTTCCCTTCTTGCTTCATTTCATTCATTTCATCTTCCATTGCTGATACCCTTTCTTCCAGTTGATCGCATCGGCTCCTGAGGCTTCTGCATTCTTCACGTAGTTCTCGAGCCTTGGTTTTCATCTCCATCAGCTCCTTTAAGCACTTCTCTGTATTGGTTATTCTCGTTATACATTCTTCTAAATTTTTTTCAAAGTTTTCAACTTCTTTGCCTTTGGTTTGAATGTCCTACCATAGCTCAGAGTAATTTGATCATCTGAAGCCTTCTTCTCTCAACTCATCAAAGTCATTCTCCATCCAGCTTTGTTCCGTTGCTGGTGAGGAACTGCATTCCTTTGGAGGAGGAGAGGTGCTCTGCTTTTTAGAGTTTCCAGCTTTTCTATTCTGTTTTTTCCCCATCTTTGTGGTTTTATCTACTTTTGGTCTTTGATGATGGTGATGTACAGATGGTTTTTTGGTGTGAATGTCCTTTCTGTTTGTTAGTTTTCCTTCTAACAGACAGGACCCTCAGCTGCAGGTCTGTTGGAGTACCCTGCTGTGTGAGGTGTCAGTGTGCCCCTGTTGGGGGGTGCCTCCCAGTTAGGCTGCTCGGGGGTCAGGGGTCAGGCACCCATTTGAGGAGGCAGTCTACCCCTTCTCAGATCTCCAGCTGTGTACTGGGAGAACCACTGCTCTCTTCAAAGCTGTCAGACAGGGACATTTAAGTCTGCAGAGGTTATTGCTGTCTTTTTGTTTTTCTGTTCCCTGCCCCCAGAGGTGGAGCCTACAGAAGCAGGCAGGCCTCCTTGAACTGTGGTGGGCTCCACCCAGTTGGAGCTTCTGGGCTGCTTTGTTTACCTAAGCAAGCCTGGGCAATGGCGGGCACCCCTCCCCCAGCCTCGCTGCCACCTTGCAGTTTGGTCTCAGACTGCTGTGCTAGCAATCAGCGAGACTCCGTGGTCGTAGGACCCTCCGAGCCAAGTGCAGGATATAATCTCATGGTGCGCCGTTTTTTAAGCCCGTCAGAAAAGCGCAGTATTCGGGTGGGAGTGGCCTGATTTTCCAGGTGCCTTCCGTCACCCCTTTCTTTGACTAGGAAAGGGAACTCCCTGACCCCTTGTGCTTCCCGAGTGAGGCAATGCCTCGCCCTGCTTCAGCTTGTGCAAGGTGCGCCCACCCACTGACCTGCGCCCACTGTCTGACATTCCCCAGTGAGATGAACCCAGTACCTCAGATGGAAATGCAGAAATCACCCATCTTCTGCGTCGCTCACGCTGGGGGCTGTAGACCGGAGCTGTTCCTATTCGACCATCTTGGCTCCTCCCCCTGAATCACCACTAAATTTTTTTAAAGTATGTTCTATTTTGGCATAATATGTAGACCCTGAAAAAATAATTTACTGTACTACAAAAGAAAAATAAGTTATGGAAGAAAATTTTAATGTAATCAGCCTTTAACATTGGATTGTTGAAATCAGAGTATCTGTACTTTTCTTATGATGTTCAGAATCACCCCACCGTTTTTTCCAACTATTTTCCTTCTTTCCTTCTCATGATTCAGAGACAAGCAACTATTTTTATTGCCATAAATACATCAATCAGCTTACTCTGATGTCAGTTTTGGTTCATATAAGCTATAGTCCACGTGTGTATCATCTCTATTAATGCAACTCAATCTTTTGAATTGTACTGCCACAAAAATTATTTGTTCTTCAGCTCACAGCTACTGATAAAATAATTTAGAACAATTATGTCACCCGAAGTTTAAAAGCAGCTCCGATTTTTCTACAGACTTTTGCTTCCTCTTACCTAAGTTTTGAGACCATAATTTTGATTCAGAACCTGTTCTTCTTGCCTTGCAAAAATTCTAGTTGCTACAGATTCATTAAATAACATCAGCCTGTCGATAATACCATTCAAATTTTAGTTCCCATGGCATATTAACTGTGAGTAATCACATAAAGTGCTTCACTGCTAGATTTTCACTCCACAAATCACTAGGTGCATCATGATCCATGACCAATCATGTCACTTTTATCAAAGTTTATTGGTGATTGTTCATTGCATAAAAATTCAGTTCTGACATAGCAAAGCATGTGCTTATGTTGCCTACTTGTCTCTCAGTTTTAAATCCATGAGACATATTACAAAAATAGATACTAGAAAGAAAAAATTGGCCAACAAATATGGAAGTGCACCAAAGAAATCAAGAGTAATAACACTGGGAGTGAAATCTGAATCAAACTTGAGTGGACTCATCAATAATTGTAGGAATGTTGCCAATGCCACCTTTAGGAAGGCTCTAGATGTGAAGCCAGGAAACATACTGAAAAATGACATCAACAAAATTGCAAAGTAGGAGTTCTCTGGTTTCTGTTCCCCACCAAGAAAATAAAACTAGCAACTATCTAAAGTCAAGATTACCATCCTGAATATCCCAGAACTTCGAAGTAAAGCTGTGATATTCCCTTGGATCAATGGAGCCAAGAAAAATAGCAATCAGAGAGTAAGGGAAATAGTTCTCCTTAATCATCACACCCCTCCTCTAAGCACATACAGTGCCACTTGTGGAGAATTCTTCTGGACTGACGGTGGTTTCTACAGTGGAAAGTGTAAATTGGAGAAAGACATTTGACTTCCTCACCATTCTGTGACACTTTACAGGTGGCTCGCTCTGGAAATATTGGGAATGTTAGCAGGGCTAGTCGACCAGGAGTCAATTCTAAATGAAGAATGGGAGTGGGGCCCACAGCAATCAACATGTGAACCTTGCTGCTGGCCATAGCAGATGCCGGTTTAAACCACTCTCTAGTGCTACAACGGCTATGGCAATGATAGGCTTGGAGACCAAAACAAATGGTCTGCTCAAAGTTTCTAGTCAGGTCTACTGTAGAAAAGTAGTCACAGACAGAGGCAGGCTGCAAAGATGAAATAAATACCCTTCTATTCAATGTGCAGACATCTATGAAGAACCAAAAGTATCAGGAACAATGAGGGAAATATGACCTCACCAAACGAAATGATATGCCAATGACTGACCCTAAAGAGACGAAGATGTACAAGCTGCCTAACAAGTAATTCAAAATAACTTTTTAAAGTAAATTCAGTAAAGTTCCAGAAAATATAAATAAAGAATTCAAAAATTTATCAGAGATATATAATAGAGACTGAAATAATAAAAATATCAAAAAGAAATCCTATATATGAAAAAAATACAATGAACAAAATAAAAAATGTAGTATATTTCATTAATAGCCAAATTGAGCAGAAGAAAGAATCAGTGAGCTTAAAGATAGACTATTTGAAAACAGACAGGGAGACAAAAGAAAAAAAAATGAAAAGGAACAAAGATATCTGGTGGGATTTATGGGACAACACCAAAAGAGCAAATTTTCTAGTCATTGAGTTCAAGAGAGAGTGGAGAAAGACAAAGGGGGTAGAAAGCTTATTTAAGGAAATAATAGCAAAACTTTTCCAAATCTGGAAAAAGATAAATATCCAGGTATAGAAATGTCAAAGACCATCAATCAAATTCAATTCAAATAAAGCTACTCCAAGACATGTTACAATTAAACTGACAAAACTCAAAGACAAAGAAAGCATCCTGAAAGCAGCAAGAGAGAAAAACAAATAACGTGTAGAGGAGTTCCAATATACCTAGCAGCATATGTCTCAGCAGAAATCTTACAGCCCAGGGACAGGCATGGTTACTCATGCCTGTAATCCCAGAACTTTGGGAGGCCAAGGTGGGTAGATCACTTGAGGCCAAGAGTTTGATACCAGCCTGGCCAACATGGCAAAACCCCATCTCTACTAAAAATAATTTAAAAATTAGTTGGGTGTGTTGGCATATGCCTGTAATCCCAACTACTTGGGAGGCTGAGGGACAAGAATCACTTGAACCTGGGAGGTGGAGGTTGCAGTGAGCCAAGGTCACACCACTACACTCCAGCCTGGACAATAAAACGAGACTATCTTTTGCAAATAAAATAATAAAATAAAGAAACCTTACAGGCCTGAAGAGAGTGAGATGATATAGTCAAAGTCTTAGAGGCAAAAAATTGCCAACAAAGAATACTGTAAAGCAAAGCTATCCTTCAAAAATGAAAGGGAGATAAAGACTATTCCAGACAAACAAAAGCTGAGGGAGTTCATCACCATCAGACCTATTTTCCTATTTTACAAGAAATGCTAAAGGAAGCTCTTCAAATTGAAAAAAAAAAAAGCTAACGAGTAACATTAAAATCCTTGTAAATATAAAGATCACTGGTAAAAGTAAGTACATGGTAAAACTTAGAATATGCTAATATTGTAATTGTGTTATGTAAACCACCTATCTCTCTAGTATGAAGATTAAAAGATAAAATATTTTAAAATAATAATAGCTAAAACGAGTGGTTGAGGAACGTATAATATAAGAAGTTTGTAAATTGTGACACAAAGAATTCAAACTATGAGAGGGAGTGGAGTTAAAGTGCAGAGGTTTACTTTTGTGATCAAAGTTAAGTTGTTACCAGTTTAAAACAACCTGTTATGTTTTTGGTAAACATAACAGTAACCGCAAAGCAAAAACCTATAATAGATACACTGGAAATAAAAAGCAAGGAATCAAAACATACTACTAGAGTAAATGACTTAACCACAAAAGAAAATAGTAAGGGAGGGGGGAAAAAAGGATCTAGAAAACAACTGGAAAACAGTTAAAAAAATGGCAGTGATAGGTCGTTACGTATCGATAATTACCTTAAATGTAAATAGATTAAATTCTTCAATGAAAAAGCGTTAAGTAGCTGAATAGATTAAACAACAAGACTCAAATACAGGTATACATTGCTTCACTGCACTTAACATTTTGCACTTTGCAAAATGGACCAATCAGCACTTTGCAGATATTGCATTTTTTACAAATTGAAGGTTTGGGGCAACCTGGCATTGAGCAAATATATTGGTGTCATTTTTCCAACAGCATGTGTTCACTTTATATCTCTGTGTCACATTTTGTTAATACTTGCAATATTTCACACTATATGATTATTATTATTATATCTGTAAGCGTGATCTGTGATGAGTGATCTTTGATGTTATTATTGTAATTGTTTTGGGGCACCATGAACCACACCTATAAAATGGGGCAAACTTAATTGATAAATATTGTGTGTGTTTTGACTGTTCCACCAACCAGTCATTCCATCATGTCTCCCTCTTTTCAGACCATTCTATTCCCTGAAATGCAAGATAATTGAAATTAGGTCAATTAATAACACCGTGAAACCCTGTCTCTACTAAAAACACAAAAAATTATCCAGGTGTGGTGGCGGGCACCTGTAGTCCCAGCTACTCGGGTGGCTGAGGCAGGAAAATGGCGTGAACCTGGGAGGCGGAGCTTGCAGTGAGCCAAGATCACGCCACTGCACTCCAGCCTGGGTGACAGAGCAAGACTCCATCTCAAAAAAAAAAAGAAAGAAAGAAAGAAAGAAATTAGGCCAATTAAGAACCCTACAATGGCAGCATTATGGAGAACAGTATGGAGATTGCTCAAAAAATTAAAAACAGAAGTACCATAAGATCCAGCACTCCCACTACTCAATATATATGCAGAGAAAATGAAATGAGTATGTTGAAAAGATATCTGTGTCACAAGATCCTTGGGGTGTCACTTCACCAGCCAGAAAACTTTGTAGCTAGTGGTGCCTTTATCCAAGTTTTGCTCAGGCCCACTGGGTTTGCTCTGCCCACTTGGCCCGGCAGCCTGTGATCAGCTCACACTATTGGCCCAGATCCTATGCCTGCCAAGGGCAAGCCAGGCATGGAGTGGCAAAGGCGCAGTGCGTGAATGAGCAAGCATGGGGTCTGGCACCTGCACACAGCAGGCAGATCCAGGCGCCGGCACGGGTGCTGGCTCCCTGCAAGAATGTGGCTAGACCAGGCATATTCCAAGTGGCTTCCACTGCTGGCACTGGGGAAGGTAGTGGTGCCTGGAAGATTGCAGATGCCAGGAACTGCAGAACCCGAAAGAGGGCGTCACAGCCCTGGCTCAGGAAGCTCCTATGTCTGGGTTCCCAGAAGGGTCACAGTTCTCTCCTTCTCTCTTCTCTCCATCTTGTCACCTGCAAAGTGGCAAGGAAGGGGGCATGTTTCAGCTCTGTTTGTGTTACAGCTCTTTCAGTCCCACCATTTGGCAGTGAGAGGTGAAGCTGCCTGGGCTTCTGTGTCCGGTGGGGACTTGGAGAACTTTTCTGTCTAGCCAAAGGATTGTAAATGCACCAATCAGCACTCTGTGTCTAGCTAAAAGTTTGTAAATGCACCAACAGTGCTTTGTGTCTAATGGGGTAGGGGACTTGGAGAACTTTTCTGTCTAGCTAAAGGATTGTAAATGCATCAATCAGTGCTGTGTCTAGCTAAAGTTTTGTAAACACAACATCAGCACTCTGTAAAAACGGACCAATCAGCACTCTGTAAAATGGACCAATCAGCAGGATGTGGGTGGGGCTAAATAAGGGAATAAAAGCAGGCCACTTGAGCCAGCAGAGACAACTGACTTTGTCCTCTTCCACGTTGTGGAAGCTTTGTTCTTTCCCTTTTTGCAATAAATCTTGCTGCTGCACACTCTTTGTGTCCATGCCACTTTTATGAACTGTAGCACTCACCGCAAAGGTATGCAGCTTCACTCCTGAAGTCAGTGAGACCACGAACCCACCAGAAGGAAGAAACTCTGGACATGTCCCAACGTCAGAAGGAACAAACTCCAGACACACCATCTTAAAGAACTGTAACACTCACTGCGAGGGTCTGCGGCTTAATTCTTGAAGTCAGCAGACCAAGAACCCACAAATTCTGGACACAGTAGGTCCTACGTTCTTGTCCCACGTGCAGGAAGAATGAGGTACACAGACAACTGGAGGGTGAGTGAGACAAAGAGATGTTTTATTGAGTGACAGTACAGCTCTCAGGAGCCTTTCCACAGGCAGGTCATCCCTATGTCTGCTCAGCTCTCAGCTGAGAGGAGACCCACAGTGCCTAGCTCCTCCCTGCAGGCAGATTGTTGGGATGTCTGCCAAAGTTTGGCTAACTCTGGGCTTTTTGTGAGCTTCAGAGGGCAGGAAGTGGGTGCTTATTGGTCCATAGCTGGCCATGGACAGGCCTAGAAAAAGCCCCATTAAGTTCTCACTCTGGTCCAGGGAACTGGCAGCCTGACCCCCTAGGTTTCAGGCCATCAGTCCTAGGCCTGAAGGTGGGGCTTGGCTGGGACCTGTCCCTTTAAGCCCAGGAGCCTTTCTGCCTCTCACTGCCATCAACCTGTCATCCCCAGTGCCCAAACTGTTCCTAACAAGGGGTACCTGCAGGCCTGTGCTGAGGCACCATCAACTCCCCCTTTGCCTCCGTCCCATGCTCATCAGAGCCCAGAGCAGTGACGGGGTGGGGCCACCTGGGCTTCCTGGGTTGACTAGGGTCTCAGAAAGCTGTGAAACTCACTCATTTCCTGCATCAGGGCTTACTTCAGTCCTGGATGAATAATATTGAAGATATATGCTTAAAAAATTCCTAACACCAGGATTTGTGCATGTGATTTCTTCCCCAAGAAAGCTATAAACAGTGAAAATTTTGCTGTAAATTTCTCTGTGTCCCCCCCCGGCCTTCCTCCTCCTCTGAAACTAAACTAAAAAGAATGTTAACTGCCTGTTTTTCTGTGACCAGTGGACTTTATCTATCATCCCAATTCCAATTCCTTGAAAACGTACTTTGTAACAAAGTCCTGTAAGATCCTGTCACCATTGCCATGCTGCTGCAAGGTCATAAAGTAGATAAAACCTAAGTTGCAATTCTGGTTTTCCTCAAGATCTAAGACATGTCACAAATGGTTAATTGCCTTTGTTTCTCATTCTGGTAAGATATTCCTGCCCCACGTATTTCCCGCCTTAAAAAGTTTACAAGGCAGTCATATAATCTAACTCTGGCTACCCATTCTGGACCCCTTCCACACTATGGAAGCTCTGTACTTTCACTCTGCTCAATAAAGCCTACAGCTTTTTCTCTCTATAGGTCCGGGTCTCCATCACTCGCCATGGTCAGCCGCCACACCAATTCTATGGTGTGGCTAGGCAAAAACCTTAGGCGTTACCTCAGCACTGTCCCAAGTGTATGGACAAGATGGGTGGCAGGACCAGGCATTTCTGAGTCTGTGGGGGCAGGGGGGTTTCCCAGGCCCCCAAGAGCACAGGAAAGCCCAGTCTGCAGCAGGAGCTGGGTGGCTACAGCTGTGCCCAGGAGGGTGGGGCTCTCACCCTCACAACTCAGAAGAGATCGGGGCTTCTGCTAGCTCTGTGGAGCTCGCAGCCCTGGCTGCACCTTCTCCACTGTAGCCAGCATCTTCGCAGTGGCCACTGCAGACGGGATGCTGCTGCCATCATCTGCACTATCTAAGTTTATTTCAGCAACATTCACAATAGCCAAGATATGGATTCAACCTATGTATCCATCAACAGATGAATGGATGAAGGAAATGTGGTTATACGTGCAATGGAATACTATTCGGCTATAAAAATGAATGAAATCTTGCCATTTGTGACAACCTGGCTAAATCTGGAATACATTATACTAAGTGAAATAAACCAGGAATAGAAAGGCAAATAGCACATGATATCACCCATATGTGAAATCTAAAAAAGTTGATCCCATAGAACTAGAAAGTAGAATGGTGTTTATCAGAGGCTAGGGTGGTTGGGGGACATGAGATTGCAGAGAGGTTGGTCAAAGGATAGAATAATTATAGTTGAGAGAAATAATTTTTAAGAAATCTAATGTATAGAAGAGTTAACTATAGTTATTCGCAATATATTTTATTCCTGAAAAATGTAAAGAGAGCATTTTTTCACATGCTTGTTGGCCACGTGTATGTCTTCATTTGAAAAGTGGCTGTTCACATCTTTTGCCCACTTTTTAATGGGGTTATTTGTTTTTTTGCTTTTGAATTTGTTAAATTCCCTATCATGGATATTAGAACTTTGTCAGATGCACAGCTCTCAGAAATTTCCTCCCACTCTTAGACTGTCTTTTTACTCTGCTAATGGTTTCTTTCACTGTGCAGAAGCTCTTTGGTTTAATTAGGTCCTATTTATCAATTTTTGTTTTTGTTGCAATTGCTTTTCAAATTTTCATCATGAAATCTTTCCCCAGTCTTATGCACAGACTAGTATCTCCTAGGTTATCTTCCAGGGTTTTTATAGTTCGGGGTTTTACATTTAAGTCTTTAATCCACCTTGAAATGATTCTTGTGTATGGTGTAAAGAAGAGGTCCAGTTTCAATCTTCTGCATATGGCTGGCCAGTTATCCCAACACCATTTGTTGAAGAAGGAGTCTTTTCCCCATTGCTTGTTTTTGTCAGCTTTGTCAAAATCAGATGGTCGTAGATGTGTGGCCTTATTTCTGGGCTCTCTATTCTTTTCCATTGGTCTATGTGACTGTTTTTATACCAGTACCATAATGTTTTGGATACTGTAGCCTTGTGTTATAGTTTGAAGTCAGATAATGTGCTGCCTCCAGCTTTATTCCTTTTGCTTAGGATTGTCTTGGCTATTTGGGCTCTTTTTTGGTTCCATGTGAATTTTAAAATAGTTTTTCCTAATTCTGTAGAGAATGTAATTGTTAGTTTGATAGGAATAGCATTGAGTCTATAAATTGCTTTGGGCAGCATGGCCATTGTAACAATATTGATTTTTCCTTTCCATAAGCACGTAATGTTTTTCCACTTATTTGTGCTATCTCTGACTTATTTGAGCAATGTTTTGTAATTCTCATTGTACGTATCTTTCACCTCCCTGGTTAGCTGTATTCCTAGGTATTTTATTCATTTGTGGCTATTATGAATGAGATTGTGTTTTGGATTTCGCTCTCAGCTTGGATGTTGTTGGTATATAGGAATGCTACTGATTTTTCTACATTGACTTTGTATACTGAAACTTTGCTGAAGATGTTTATCAGATCAAGGAGCTTTTGGACTGAGACTATGGGGTTTTCTAAGTATAGAATCACATCCTCTGTAAACAGGGATAGTTTGACTTCCTTCCTTCTTATTTGGATACCTTTTATTTCCTTCTCTTGCTAGAATGCTCTGGCCAGGACTTTTAGTACTATGTTGAATATGAATGTTGAGAGAGGGCATAGTTGTCTTGTTCCAACATCACTAATAATTAGAGAAATACAAATGAAAACAACAATGAGACACCATCTCACATCAGTTAGACTGGCCATTAGTAAAAAGTCAAAAAAATAAGAGATGTTGGCAAGGTTGCAGAGAAAATGGAATACTTATACATTTTGGAAATGTAAATTAGTTCAGCCATTGTGAAAAACGGTTTGGCAATTTCTGAAAGAACTTAGAAACAGAAATACCACTTGACCCAGCAATCCCATTATTGGGTATATACCCAAAGGATTATAAAATGTTCTGCCATAAAGACACATGCACGTGTATGTTCATCGCAGCACTATTTACAATAGTAAAGACATGGAATAAACCTAAATGACCATAAACAGTAGACTGGATAAAGAAAATGTGGTACATATACACAATGGAATATTATGCAGCCATAAAAAAGAATGAGATCATGTCATTTGCAGCAACATGAATGGAGCTAGAGGCCATTATCCTAAGTAAACTAACACAGGGACAGAAAACCAAATACCACATATTCTCACTTGTAAGTGGAAGCTAAACATAGGGTACATATGGACACAAATAAGATACCAGGGCCTACTTGTGGGTGGGAGGAGGGTGAGGATCAAAAAACTACCTATCAGGTACTATGCTTATAACCTGAGTGATGAAATAATCTGTACACAAAACCCCCACAACACGCAATTTAACTATATAACAAACCTGTACAAATATCCCAAAACCTAAAATAAAAGTTAAAGAAAAAAAAAATGTAAAGAGAGTCTGAATGTTAAGTGCTCTCACCACAAAATAATATCTATGTGAGGTAATGCATTTATTAATTAGCTAGATTTAATCATTCCACAATGCATGTGTACTTCAGAACATCTTGTTGTATACCATAAAAACATGTAATTATCTGTCACTTTAAAAAATTTAAAAAGAGAATATAGTGAAGGTGAAGCTATGGACATACATGAGAAAAGTAAGATGATGATGTCTCAGAGGACGTCATGCTGTCAAGCACTTCCTATTAAAGGAAATCTTGGTGACATTTCCAACATTAAAAGAGCAAAGGATAACGAGTTGAAAGCTGATCCAAGTAAATCTAAGGAAAGAAATATGACAATTGGCTCAGGCATAGAAAGTTGTTCACTTTATATTATAAGTTATATAATGACAATAAATCAAGCAACACAGTTCAAACTACCCTTGATAAACTTTTTACAAAGAAATGAAACATGTTAATTATTAATGTTCCCAATATTATAGATTGTGTACTAAGTAAATATTAATTTTATTATTTTTAAAGAATTTCCCTAGAAACTTAAGACCAACAGTAAGAGTGTTTCCAATGCTTTGACAACAATTTCTAATGGTCACAGAACATGATAAAATTTCCCATTTATTGTTAAGATTCCTTTGTGTGGTTTCAGTATGCATGGCTGTTTAACGTTCCTGCACTACTGTGCAAAGCAAAAACTACCTGTAATAACATTTTTTTAACTTTAGAAAATAAATAGCTAAAAGTTGCCTGGGATTATCCACTAGAGGTTTATTTCCAAACTATGCAGAGAGGAAAGAGGTTTACTTAGGCATTATGCTTTGATTTCACTGTCCCTATGGATATTTAATTTTAATATTTCAGCACAAAATAAATTGTCAGCTTAATTTCCCACATTTTCCACCAGAATCTTCATCTAAGTGCTATGCATGTTCTGATTTTCTTCCTTCCTGTACAGAACTCAAGTAGTTTACACTTCTGGTAACAAAGTTGTATATTGTTCTCACATGAATGCAGATGTCTACATCACCCAGGAAACCAGAGATGTGATTCTAAAAGGAGCTCTCGAGGGCTTACAATTGACTGAGTTCCATTGGATGCTGGTGCTGAATTGTGCCAAGAGAGCTCTATGTACACACTTTTGAGCCCAGTCGCGGCTGTGGAAAGACTGGCACAGCTTTGGCCAATTTGAAAGGGTGAAAAAAGCTCAGAGGGAATTGATAGAATCTTTTTCTCAAATTTGCAGATTGTCTAAATTAAACTTGCCACTCAAAATATGAACACAGTTTGTCTCTTGTTTGTTCAGAGACTTACAATGGCCCAAAAGAGCAAGTGATTGCCAAACGGACAGAGTGACTAGAACAGAACGAGAAGTCCCCATCTTACAATACATTTTATTCCAAAAAATTGTTATTTGTAACTCCAAAAGCATTTTCTTCTACATTCAGTGTTACACATCATGGACAGGCCAGCCACAGAAAACTATTTAACTCAAGGTGAAGCTTTTCTGTAGTGCTAATCATTATGTGGCAGTAACCCTTCATTTTTTCTAAATATTGTTTATTCAACAAGCTCAAAACAGAAAATATAGCCAGAACACTGGAGGAGCATGAAAAGTCTACAGAAACTGTCTTTAACTTTTATTATTTTGATTAAGAAACCCACATAAACAATAAAATGTATCACTTGTAATTCTATCACCCATAGGTAACTGTGTTTAACATTTTGATGCATATTATCTGAGACTCGTTTCTATACAAACATATATATGTATGAATATGTATAATGTTATTTTTAACAAAACTGATTGATTGTATTAGGCATATTATTTGAAAATCTGTTTTGATTCACTTACATCACAGATATCACGGCAAAAACATTTATCTATATTGTTATTGTTAATGGCTTTACTCGTTATATAAATAAATCACACCTTGCAAATCAATCTGTATTTTGAACATTGTTGTGGTGAGAATGTGACCCCCGCAAATTCATATGTTGAAATAGTAACTTCCAAAGTGATGGTATTAAAAGGTGGAGCCTTTTGGAAGGCTCTCAGGAAGCAGTCCTTCTTCTTCCACCATGGATACAGCAAGAGGCGCTATCTATGAGAAAGCCTGATCTCACTAGATGGTGAATCTGCCCCTGCCTTGGCCTTGGATTTCCCAGTCTTCAGACTGAGAGAAATCAGTTTCTCTTGTCTATAAGCTACCCAGTTGGTAACATTGTCTTTTGTTACAGCAGCCTAAATAGACTAAGAAAGGCATTTAGATCGTTTCCTTCTTTTCGTATTATAAGTATACATATGTATACATTATTGAATATCTATCTTCACACATTTGTTTATTTTGTATATACCCCTAAAATTGAAATGCTAAGTCAAAGGGAATGCCATATTAAATGATTTTGATATAAATCTTCACAAAAAAAATAGCCTTTTAGAAAAGTTGAACTATATTGTATGTTAGCCCAGGTTCCCACGTCACTATAAAATTTTTTTTCAACTTTATAAACTTCCTAATCTGACAGTCATATAATGGCATCTCATTTGTTTTCAGTTGCATCCTTTACTGCTGTTGAAACTGAATATTTACTATGTTTCCCAGACATTTGTATTTCTTAATTTGCAAGTATTTAAATTCTGTCCTTTGCCCATTTTTATGTTAGAATTTTTACAGTTTTCCAAACTGATATCTTTATATTAAAACCAGTAACACATATATGCTGCAAATACTTTTCCTGGTTCATAATTTGTATTATAATTTTTAAAAGTATGACTTTTATAATAAAATTATTTTTATTTTGTGAAAACTTTCACTCTTTTTTTTTTTTTTTTTTTTTTTGAGACAGAGCCTCACTCTGTTTCCCAGGCTGGAACGCAGTGGCGCGATCTTGGCTCACTGCAAGCTCCGCCTCTCGGGTTCAGCCATTCTCCTGCCTCAGCCTCCCGAGTAGCTGGGACTACAAGCGCCCGCCACCAAGCCCGGCTAATTTTTTTGTATTTTTTTAGTAGAGACGGGTTTCACCGTGTTAGCCAGGATGGTCTCGATCTCCTGACCTCGTGATCCACCCCCCTCAGCCTCCCAAAGTGCTGGGATTACAGGTGTGAGCCACCGTGCCTGGCCCACTCTTTTTTTAAAAAATAGTTTCTACATTTGGGCCATGTTGAGAATGGTCTTCTCCACCTCAAGAAAATATAAATATTACCAACATTTTTGTGTGTTATTTTATGGTTTTACTTTAAATATTTTATAATGTTATATGTTTATACATCAAAATTATGTTTTAACATTTAAATCTTATGTCCTGGTACAAGATGTCAGGTAGAAGTCTATTGTTATTTTTCTTTTCAAATAATTAAACAGTTATTTCTATTATTTATTAATAACGCAATTAATCTTTGATTTTAGATATTGTATATTTTTAGCTCTAGAATTTCCATTTGGTTCCTTTGTTGACTTTCTATGTCTCCTCTGAAGTTCCCCAAATTCTTCCCATTACTTTCATCTTTTTTAGTAGGTTTGTTAACAAATTAATCGTAACTATTTTAAAGTCCTTGTCAGCTAATTTCATCATCTGATTGATCAGTCATTCTGTTTCTATCAACCATATTTTTCTCTTGGCTATGAGTAACACTTTTCTGTTTCTTCAGATGTCCAGAAATATTTTACTGTATTAGATAACACATTGCAGAGTTGTTAAAGCCACTGTCATTTTGAGGTTAGCTATTTTGGGTTTTGTTTTGTTTTGCTTTTCTGGTAAATACAACTGAGCCAGGTATTAATGAAATATGTTTATTTGGGTTTGTTTCTGCACTATTTCATCTTATTGATCCATTTGCCCATTGAGCTTCCAGCACAAAATTCTCCTGTCTTTCTCAGACAAGTACGAAGTTTTGTTCTAGCAGACAAATTAGTGGGGGATCAGATTACTGGTATGAAGATGTAGTGTCAGGCTGTTAAAACAAATCCATTTCCATTTTGCCCTTATACCTGAGATGTGATTCTTATTTCTAATCCATGGCCTTCTGGGTTCCGTGAACAGTCTGAGATGTTTTCCAAATATCATTAAGCTGATGGGAATCAAAGTCCTAAACTCTATCTTCCCAATATCCATGTAGCTACCAAGATCTTTGTGCAACTTTTTTTTTTTTTTTTTTTTTTTTTTGCTTTCAAGCAGCTGTTGCTCCCCTGGGTTCCTTGGAGTCTTGCTCCCAACATGTGCAGTTCTAAGTCAGACAAGGCTTTGAAAAGAGTTTGTACACAGAATTTGGAGCTCTTCCTTACTTCTCTCTTCTTTCTAGGATTTCCTACCCATGACCATACCTACCAGTACAAAGGCAAAGGAAGATCTTTATTCCAGGTGGCATGTATTCAGCTAACTGGTGGTCACCTTTAAATTTCAATTGTATTTTAACATATATTTCTCTATCAAGGTAAAAAAACATTTATTGACATCCACATGTAAAGAGAAAGATTAATATACTTTTAACTCCTTCTTTACCCCATCTCCAAGTTTTTGTAAAGTAATGTCTTTTAAAAAATCTAGAATGTAATTTTCTTTATTTTCTTTTTGTATATTACGTATCTTCTAATTTAATATGTTATATTTTTGACATTTAAATTAAGGTACATTAACATTTGTTCACATTTTTCTTATTTCTAATTTTAAAATTTTTTATCTGAATTCTTTATTTTTAAATTATAAAAGTTGTAAGATTATAGAAGTTTGGAAAATAGAAAACTCCAACAACTATTTTATTTTTTGCATATTCATTTTAGTCTTTATCTGTTGATACTTTTAGATTTCCCCTCTTTCTACCTCTCATTCCCACATCAACCAGTAGATACCTTTATAGTCTAGATTTATAGAAGTTTTAAAACTCTGCTTAGGGACACCAACAAATGATGAGATTAGCCAGCGATCTATAGTTTGGGACATCAGTCATATGGGCTGCTCTATTTCTAAAAATCCTTCTCTCTGTCTGACACCATGACAGGGAATCTTCCCTTCTATTCCTGCTCTGCAGATACCCAATGGACAGAGTCCTTGTCCAAGTCCTGCAGGTCAGTTAGTGTCTCCTGCTGTACATTTGGGAAATAATACTCCATAGGCTTGGCTCCCATTTGGTTTTATTTGACATGGTGAGCCAGTAGCAACTCCATTTGGCTTAATTGGCCACCCTTAATTCTTTAGCTGTCATATTGTCCAGTGTAATGACTGGCAGAGACAATTCTTTCATTGTTGGTTAAACTCCAGTTACTGATTTAGAAAAGGGTTTCTCCAAAGATGTATTATTCTTTTTATTTTGTGTGTGTGTGTGTGTGTGTAATTTCTACTTTTATTTTAGATTCAAGGGGTAAATGTATATACCCAGAGGAAAATAAATCCTTCTACCAAAAGACATCTGCACTCATCGCAGAACTATGCACAATAGCAAAGACATGGAATCAATAAATGCCCATCAACAGTGGATTGGATACATACCAGCAAATGTGGTATGTGTACACCATGAAATATACACATCCAGTAAAAAAGAACAGAATCATGTCCTTTGCTGCTACATAGATACAGCTGGAGGCCATTATCCTAAGCAAATTAATGCAGGAGCAGAAAACCAAATACCTCATGCTCTCACTTATAAGTGAGAGCTAAACGTGGGGTATACATGGACATAAAGATGGCAACAATAGATACTGGGGACCACTAGGTGGGGGAGAGAAGGTGGGAGCAAGAGCTGAAAAACTACCTATTGGGTACTAAGCTCACTACCTGGGTGATGAGATCATTCCTACCTCAAACCCATTTCTAATATTTAATTAACATTCATCTTTATGTAACAATTTCAGGAAAGGTAAGCAGATAAAACTCTTTTTGAGCTTTTGCTTGTCTGCAAATGCCTCTAGGTTGCTCCTGCAATGAACAATGGCTTATCAGGAAACATAATTTCTTCTGCCATAACTCTGTTGACATATCTTCTTTGTCTTCTAGCATTTGGTTTTACAAAAGTATGGCAATGACTCACAGTCTTTTATGAGAACCTCTGAGTGGATGCTAGAATAATTTCCCCCTTTTGTTCTGAAATTTGATTTACTAAAATATGTCTCTTTTTATTTTAATTTTTGGTATTTTATGGGTCTTTTTATTGTGAAGACCAAGTCTTCTTTAAACCCCTGGAAATGATCTTTTGTGATTTTTTAAAAATTTTAAATTTTCTTTTCAGGTTCTCAGTTTTTTTTCCATTTGTGGCAGTGTTTCCCAAAATTTCCTTATCATTAAAAGCATTTAATGTTTATATTTTGAAAAATAAATATGCCTAAATTGAATCCCAGACATACTGAACTTGTGTCTCTGGGGAGAGACCAAGGACGCAGAATTTTAAACAAGTTTGTGGGTGGCTGTTATACTCATATGGTTGGGAAACAGTTTTATGTATTTGTTATTCTGCCTAGATTTGACTTTCTGGCTCTATTCTCTATGTTGTATATGCCCCATTCCTTGTAATAACTCCTCTTTTTCTTTCTTTGCATTCTCTGATCATTTCTTGAACTGCTCTTCCAATTCACTGATCCAGTTTTCTGTGGTATCTGATGTTGAATGATTCTATTGTTTTTATGGGTCACCTGAAATAAGTTTTTCCTAATTTCTAATTCCTCTGGTTATATAAATGCCAGTTCTCCTTGAATCTGGTTGAGTTTTTTTTAAGAAAAACTGTCATTTCTCCTAAAGATGTCAGATCCACAGGAGCCATGTCTGACTTGTCTTCTTCCTTTGAATTAATGAATAATGTCACCTGTACAGTGATTTTATTGTAGTTATAAGCCATTAGAGAAATTAACTTTTCAGCCAGACATGGTAGTTCATATAATTTTTCAATGCTGTAATTCCAGCGTTTTGAGAGGCCAAGGCAGGAGGATCCCTTGAAGCCAGAAGTTCAAAGCCACTTTGGGAAAAATAGAAAGATCCCCTCTCTACAAAACTTTTTTTTACAGCTGGGTGTGACGGTGTGCACATGTAGTCCCACCTGCTAAGGAGGATGAGGTGGGAGGATGACTTGGGCCAATGAATTAAAGGCTACAGTGAGCTATGATTGCACCTTTGCATGCCAGCCTGGACAACAGAGCAAGACCCGGTCTCAAAAAAAAAAAAAGAGAGAGAGAGAGAGAAAAAAGATATAAACTTTTCCACTGTTAGAGATATGTTCATGTCTTTATTTAGACTAGATGGGGAAAAGGAAATCTTGGTGTTTCTATAGGTTTTGCCTGAGTCGTATAAAAGGAACTTCAACTAAATAGCAAAGACTAGCTATGAAGAAAACATTTTAATTTTTTTAATATTTGTTTAGCATCTCTAAGCTATCTGGGTCTGCAGCCCTCCTTTTCAATGAGGGTCCACTCCAAGTGCAACCAAGTAGTGTGAGTGCTTTTACTAGTTGTTTTTTGAATAATTATGCTTTCTATAAATATTTAACTTTAACCATGTGAAAGTATATAGATATACACTATGTAACAGGATCTTGAGAATATAGCAGTAAAATAAAATAAATCCATTTTCATGGCTTCATGAAGCCTACAGTCTTGTGAGAAAAATAGATATTACACTAATAACTACCTAATTATGATTGTGATTATCACAATAATAAAAAGTTACATTATACATTAAAAGCATTTTAAATTATATTTTATTCTGTCTAGGGGATGAAAAAAGGTTTTTCTAGGAATGTGATACTGAAGTTGAGACTTGAAAGATCTAAAAGAGTATTTGGTGTGAAAGGAGCACGTGTATTTGATCGTGCAAATGAAATATCATAACCAAAGGCGAGAATGACTCAAGAGTTGACAAGAGAGACAGACAGGCTCTTGTCAGTCATGCTAAAAATCTTCACATTTTTCCAAGAGCACCGAGAAGCTAGAGGAAAATTTTAGAAACAGTGACCCAATCAGTCTGGGGTTTGCTGGTACTTTCTGAAATCCTGATAGAGTGAAGTATGACCCCTTCTCCCTCACTGAGCACCCATGACTCCCTCTTACTTCCAGGCATGGCCATTCTCAGAGAGGGGAGACGTTGAGATTACTATGAGAGATGGCATTAACTTATGCCCAAGAAGGGCCTTCCTAGACATGTATTTTATTGTGCGCTATTTGTTTTCCTCACTCTGGCCCTCTCTGCACAGCATCTTGAAGACACATGACTTATTCTCAGTCAGCTTTCCTGTTTTCCAGCTCCTATCATAGTTTCTTCAATGACTTTTAAATATTTCTTTCATTATTTCATGACAGTTGGTTGAGGGGGGTGGTCATTAAACATACAGTGCTTAAATCATCTTGAGATGAAATGATTTTTTCACAGACAATATATTATTTTTAAATGTGGTAATCTGGGTGTCTGGTAGTTATCTGCATGCTCATTCCACTACAGGCTGACTGGCAGTAGCAAATCTGAAAGGAATAAGGAATTTACCTTACAAATTTACTTGCACACTGCAAAACAGTTATTTATTGCAACATTGTAAGAGCAAAAATTGGAAACAACTCAAATGTTCATGAATAAGGAAAATTATGCTACACCGACACAATGGAATACTATACAACTCTTTAGAAGGAAGCTCTCTAAATACTGACATGGGAAGATCTCCAAGATCAGATTCAGTGAAAAATTCAAGATTCAGGTCAGCGTACATAAGCAGATGAGAAAATAGACATCCATATTAGGGTTTCATTGTATCTGCATAAAGAATGCTGAAAGGATACACACACATACACACACACACACACACACACACACACACACACACACAGAAAAAAATGGTTACTTATAGGGGACGGAAAGAAACAAGTAGGAGCAAAACTTCTCAATGTAAGCCTCTATATTATGTTGATTTTTGAGACATTATTTATTAGAAAAATGAATAAAATAAATATTAAAAAGCATAAATATTTAAATAAATGAAGTGGAAGTACTAAGGGAAGCTACAGGAAGCCTACATTTTTTAAAAAACTATTAAACATATTATCTTTAGCAGTGGAACTAGCTGGCCATTCAATTCTCGTTTGTTTAGGATTTCTAACTGAAAATCACCTTTTAAATAAGAGTTTCTAACAATTCCTTTAGGATTTTACTCTAATGTGTTAGCTCTTTATTAAAGTAACTATGCAGTACCTGCATCACACTCCGGTTTCAGAAAAGCAACAAGATTAGGCAAAGGAGAATCAGAGAACTTGATCAATACACTGCAAACTTAACAACTATACCAATTTCTAACCTCATGTTTCCTAATGAAAGGCCATATATATATATGTGTGTGTGTGTGTGTGTGTGTGTATATATATGTTTTATTATCACTTATGCCAAGTTTCACACATCATGATGGAATTTCCAAATAGTCATGTACCTTCTTAAAAACAACTTTGTCCAGATAGCAGTGTAATTCAGAGACATAAAGTCCTATCTTGGTTCCAAACTATATAAATTAAAGGAATATCGATCTTGAAATACTAGTACAGTAAATAAGTGAGGCTTTAGCCAGCATTGCCACAGGCATTGTTAGAACTTTTGTCTTCATAATGGTCTCCCAAGCAAGCACTTAAATGGTGAAGCCCATTAGCTTTATAGAAATCAACTTTGTCAACTTATTGACAGATTTCTTTAAGCACAGATCTCTTTCTTGAGTCTGATTACTTGCCCTGGCATAGTGATGACAAAGTGCACCATATTATCAAAACACTCATTTAAAGTAGCTATAAACACTCACCTACAAAATGGATGCAGGTGCAAAAATAGTACTATTTTCTAACTGCCTCTTTTTTTCTGTTATGCACACTAGCCTGCAGGCAAAAACAGAGTATTCCTTGAAGAAACGGCAGAACATGAATTCACTAGTATTAATTGCCTTACTACCAAGAACACCAAGGCATTTTTAATTGACAAACAAGTTGAAAATAGTCTTCATTGTATAAAAGACTCTTGCACAGATAGTATTTTAAAGAAAAAAAATGGAACATGACATTGGAATTCTGCAGGAGAAGTAGTTATAGCCCATCCTTGTAGAAATATTTGCAGATTTAACGAGACGTTATTTTCATAATGTGATTTCAATGAATACGAGATGAATTACTAAATATTTAGCATAAAAAATAGTTATTTTGATGATGGAAACTTTCTCAAGATGATCTTTGCAATGGATGAAATGTTTGTGTCTCCCCAAAATGCATATGTTGAAATCTTAATTCCCAAAGCGATGGTATTAAGTGGTGGGGAGTTTGAGAGGAGATTAGGGCATGAGAGTGAAGCCCTCATAAATGGGATTAATGTTTCTATAAATGGAACCCCAGAGACTTCTCTGGCCCTCTTTCTGCCATGTGAGGATACAGTAAGTCTGCAGTGAGTAAGCTAAAAGACGGCCCTCACCAGAACCTACTATGCTGCCACCTTGATCTCAAACTTCCAGCCTCCAAAACTGCGAGAAATAAATTTTGGTTGTTTATAAGCCACCCAGTTTATAGTACTTTGTTATAACAGCCTGAATTGACTAAGACAATCTCTTTATTCAGAAAGAGCATTGGTCTAGAAATGAGGCCAAAACAAAACACCAAGCAGAGTATCTGACACCCAGCAACTTAGTAAGTGTTCACTGAATTAAAATCAGAATTGTGTTTTGAATCTGCCACTCACCACTTTGTGAGCTTGGATATTTTGTATCTGTATCACACAGCTTTCTCATCTAATGTAATGCTATCTGCCTCATAGAATAACATGTTACAATGTATATAAACATTTGAATTGTTTAAAAGGAACACATTATCTCAACATTTTACTAACACTTAGAAATTACAGTTTTATTTTGAGATGTCAGAGAACATGTTGGAATGAGCCCAACAGTTAGCTATTTGCTTTAATTTACATGCTTGTGTGGACAAAACATTAACATAATTGATAGGATTTCACCATTTGGCATTATGTAGATAGAACTAGAAAAAATAAGCTGAGTTCCATAATTTTCTGTTTATCCCAACAGTCTTAAGCTCTAAGCAACAAAGGGCTTCCTCATGTCAGTTCAGCCCTCCCAGCACCTCAGCAAAATATTAATCGAGGGATCAAAGGTAGTGTTTCTGCTGGGATCTAGCTATTCCTCAGGTGGGTTCTGAGCATCCCATATACACCAAACTGAATCGTCCTTTTTTATTCAGTTCTTCCTCATGACTTTGCCTTGATTTTCTGAGTGTTTTTCAGATTTTATACTCTACTGCAATCAGTACCTACCCTGTGCCCCAGTTTTGTTTTGTTTTTCCCAAGATGGAGTCTTACTGTGTCGCCCAGGCTGGAGTGCAATAGCATGATCTTGGCTCACTGCAACCTCTGCCTCCTGGGTTCAAGCGATTCTCATGCCTCAGCCTCCTCTGTAGCTGGGATCACTGCAACCTCCACCTCTTGGGTTCAAGTGATTCTCCTGCCTCAGCCTCCTGAGTAGCTGGGATTACAGGCACCTGCCACTATGCTTGGCTAATTTTTTTTGTATTTTTGTAGAGATGGGGTTTCGCCATGTTGGCCAGGCTGGTCTTAAACTCCTGACATTGTGATTTACCCACCTCGGCCTCCCAAAGTGCTGGGATTACAGGTGTGAGCCACTGCACCTGTAACCTAATTAAGAAAACCTGTAAGTTTTCTTAATTAGGACCCTGATGCCCTGCCTAGTTCTTACTAGTAACCTCCTGGCAAAATTTAGAGTCAATTCTCTCTATCTATGTCCCCCTACTCTCATTCCTGTCATGTCCAGGCACTGGTGAGAGAGCTGATTCAGCATGAACTAACCTTTGAAGAGCTATAATATCACCACTTGCCATACTGAAAGGTGACAGCACGCTGGCAGCCCTCACAGCCCTCGTTCGCTCTTGGCGCCTCCTCTGCCTCGGCGTCCACTCTGGCCATGCTCGGGGAGTCCTTCAGCCTGCCACTGTGCTGTGGGGGCTCCTCTCTAGGCTGGTTGAGGATGGAGCCAGCTCCCTCAGCTTGCTAGGAGGTGTGGAGGGAGACGCATGGGCAGGAACCGGGGCTGCGCCTGGCGCTTGCGGGCCAGCTAGAGTTCCAGATGGGCGTGGGCTTGGTGGGCCCTGCACTCAGAGCGGGCAGCCGGCCCCACTGGCCCCGGGCACTGAGGGGCTTAGCACCTGGGCCAGCAGCTGTGGAGGGTGCACTGGGTCCCCCAGCAGTGCCAGCCCACCAGCGCTGCACTCAATTTCTCACCGGGCCTTAGCTGCCTCCCTGCGGGGCAGGGCTCGGGACCTGTAGCCCGCCATGCCTGGGCCTTCCTCCGCCCCCACCCTGCCGTGGGCTCCTGTGCAGCCCAAGCCTCTGCAGTGAGCACCGCCCCCTGCTCCACGGCGCCTGGTCCCATCAATCACCCAAGGGCTGAGGAGTGCAGGCACATGGCGCAGGACTGGCAGGCAGCTCCACCTGCGGCCCTGGTGTGGGATCCACTGGGTGAAGCCAGCTGGATGCCTGAGTCTGGTGGGGACTTGGAGAACCTTTATATCTAGCTAAGGGATTGTAAACACACCAATCAGCACCCTGTGTCTAGCTCAGGGTTTGTGGATGCACCAATCGGCACTCTGTATCTAGCTAATCTGGTGGGGACTTGGAGAATCTGTATGTCTAGCTAGGGATTGTGAATACACCAGTTGGCACTCTGTATCTAGCTCAAGGTTTGTAAATGCACCAATCAGCACTCTGTGTCTAGCTCAAGGTTTATAAATGCACCAGTCTGTGCTCTGTGTCTAGCTGATATGGTGGGGACTTGGAGAACCTTTATGTCTAGCTAAGGGATTGTGAATACACCAATTGGCACTCTGTATCAAGCTCAAGGTTTGTAAATACACCAATCAGCACTCTGTGTCTAGGTCAGGGTTTGTAAATACACCTATCAGTACTCTGTATCTAGCTAATCTAGTGGGGACATGGAGAACTTTTGTGTCTAGCTCAGGGATTGTAAATGCACCAGTCAGCACCCTGTCAAAATGGACCAATCAGTTCTCTGAAAAACAGACCAATCGGCTCTCTGTAAAATGGACCAATCAGCAGGATGTGGGTGGGGCCAGGTAAGAGAATAAAAGCAGGCTGCCCGAGCCAGCAGTGGCAACCCGCTCGGGTCCCCTTCCGCACTGTGGAAGCTTTGTTCTTTCGCTCTTTGCAATAAATCTTGTTGCTGCTCACTCTTAGGGTCCACGCTGCTTTTATGAGCTGTAACACTCACCACAAAGATCTGCAGCTTCACTCCTGAAGCAAGTGAGACCACAAACCCACCAGAAGGAAGAAATTCCAAACACATCCAAACCTCAGAAGGAACAAACTCCAGACATGCCACCTTTAAGAATTGTAATACTGACCGCGAGTTTCCATGGCTTCATTCTTGAAGTCAGTGAGATCAAGAACCCACCAATTTCGGACACATTTTGGCGACCCAGATGGGACTATCACCTATCACTGAGCAGCGAGACAGTCACCTATCACCAAGTGGTGAGACCATTGCCTATTGCTGAGCAGTGAGACTGTCACCTATCGCCAAGCAGTGAGTACCATCGGACTCCTTTCGCTTACTATTCTGTCCTATTTTTCCTTAGAATTCGGGAGCTAAATACTGGGCACCTGTCGGCCAGTAAAAAGCAACTAGCATGGCTGCCAGACTAAAGACATGGGTGTCAGGCTTTCTGGGAAAGGGCTCTCTAACAACCCCTGACTCTTCAGAGTTGGGAGCATTGGTTTGCCTAGAACCAGCTTCTGCTTTTCCTGTACTTCCGGGCTGAGCTGAGGGTTGACAGAGAGGAAAGCCATGCAGCTCCCGGGTCCCAACAACAAGTTGGTTGACCCTGCAGCCATGAGCAGAACTCTCAAAGGCATGTCACCCAAGAGAGACTCGCCCATCTATCCTATCTATCCTGACCCTTGACCCTGGGTCCTAATGCCTGCCAGACAAACTTCCTCTCGCCTCTCTTCTCTGAGGCTAGTCCCGCTTCTAAAAATCACTCCCTGTCTCTGGTGCTTTTCTAGTTTCTCCTATAATGACTTCTAGTATAAACTCTGTTACCTTCTTTAGGCACCCGGGCTCACCAATCAGAAAGACATAATTTTTGCCCAAAGCCCCATCGTAGTGGGGACTACCTGGAATTTTAGGATCCCTCCTCAGACTAACAGGCCTAACAAAACCTATTCCTGAAGCTAGGATATGAGGAGCCTCAGGAATTGTATCCTTCCTATTCATATAAGTGAGGACAAAAGGTGTCACTCTTCCAACCCTGGAGATCCCTTCCCTCCCTCAGGGTATGGCCCTCCACTTCATTTTAGGGGCATAACATCTTTATAGGACAGGGGTAAAGTCCCAGTACTAACAGGAGAATGCTTAGGACTCTAACAGGTTTTTGAGAATGCGCCAGTAAGGGCCACTAAATCCGACTTTTCTTGGTCGGTCCTCCTTGTGGTCTAGGAGGACAGGCAAGGGTGCAGGTTTTCAAGACTGCGTCAGTAAGGGCCCACTAAATCCAAGCTTCCTTGGTCCTCTATGTGCTCTGGGAGGAAAACTAGTGTTTCTGCTGCTGCGTCAGTGAGCGCAACTATTCTGACCAGCAGTGTCCAGGGACCGTTGCAGGTTCTTGGGCAGGGGGAGAAACAAAACAAACCAAAACTGTGGGCAGTTTTGTCTTTCAGATGGGAAACACTCAGGCATCAACAGGCTCACCCTTGAAATGCATCCTAAGCCATTGGGACCCATTTGACCCACAAACCCTAAAAAAGAGGTGGCTCTTTTTTCTGCACTATGGCTTGGCCCCAATATTCTCTCTCTGATGGGGAAAAATGGCCACCTGAGGGAAGTACAAATTACAATACTATCCTGCATGTTGACCTTTTCTGTAAGAGGGAAGGCAAATGGAGTGAAATACCTTATGTCCAAGCTTTCTTTTCATTGAGGGAGAATACACAACTATGCAAAGCTTACAATTCACATCCCACAGGAGGACCTCTCAGCTTACCTCCATACCCCAGCCTCCCTATATCTCCCCTTCCTATTAATGATAATCCTGCTCTAATCTCCCCTGCCCAGAAGGAAATAAGCAAAGAAATCTCCAAAGGACCACAAAAACTCCCAGGCTATAGGTTATGTCCCCTTCAAGCTGTAGGGGGAGGGGAATTTGGCCCAACCCAGATACATGTCCCCTTCCCTCTCTGATTCAAAGCAGATCAAGGCAGACCTGGGGAAGTTTTCAGATGATCCTGATAGGTACATAGATGTCCTGCAGGGTCTAGGGCAAACCTTCGACCTCGCTTGGAGAGATGTCATGCTACTGTTAGATTAAACGCTGGCCTTTAATGAAAAGAATGCAGCTTTAGCTGCAGCCTGAGAGTTTGGAGATACCTGATATCTTAGTCAAGTAAATGATAGAATGACAGCCAAAGAAAGGGACGAATTCCCTACCAGTCAACAAGCCATCCCCGGTATGGATCCCCACTGGGACCTTGACTCAGATCATGGGGACTGGAGTCGTAAACATCTGTTGACCTGTATTCTAGATGGACCAAGGAGAATTAGAAAAAAGCCCATGAATTATTCAATGATGTCCACCATAACTCAGGGAAATGAAGAAAATCTTTCTGCCTTCCTCGAAGGGCTACAGGAGGCCTTAAGAAAATATACTCCCCTGTCACCTGAATCACTCGAGGGTCAATTGATTTTAAAGATAAATTTATTATCCAATGAGCCACAGATATCAGGAGAAAGCTCCAAAAGCAAGCCCTGGGCCCTGAACAAAATCTAGAGGCATTATTAAACCTGGCAACCTCAGTGTTCTATAATAGGGACCAAGAGGAACAGGCCCAAAATCAGAGAAAGGCCACAGCCTTAGTCATGGCCCTCAGACAAACAAACCTTGGTGGTTCAGAGAGGACAGAAAATGGTGCAGGCCAATCACCCGGTAGGGCTTGTTATATGTGTGGCTTACTAGGACACTTTAAAAAAGATTGTCCAATGAGAAACAAGCTGCCCCCTCATCCATGTCCACTATGCTGAGGCAATCACTGGAAGGTGCACTTCCCCAGAGGATGAAGGTTCTCTGAGTCAGAAGCCCCCAACCAGATGATCCAACAACAGGATTGAGGGTGTCCAGGGCAAGCGCCAGCTTGTGTCATCACCCTCACTGAGCCCCGGGTATGTTTAACTATTGAGGGCCAGGAAATTGACTTCCTCCTGGACACTGGCGTGGCCTTCTCAGTGTTAATCTCCTGTCCTGAATGACTGTCCTCAAGGTCCATTACCATCCGAGGAATCCTGGGACAGCCTGTAACCAGGTATTTCTCCCACCTTCTCAGTTGTAACTGGGAGACTTTGCTCTTTTCACATGCCTTTCTTGTTATGCCTGAAAGTCCCACATCCTTATTAGGGAGGGATATATTAGCCAAGGCTGGAGCTATTATCTACATGAATATGGGGAACAAGTTACCCATTTGTTGTCCCCTACTTGAGGAGGGAATCAACCCTGATGTCTGGGCATTGGAAGGACAATTTGGAAGGGCAAAAAATGCCTGCCTAGTCCAAATCAGGTTAAAAGATCCCACCACTTTTCTTTCTCATAGGCAATATCCCTTAAGGCCTGAAGCTCATAAAGGATTACAGAATATTGTTAAACATTTAAATGCTCAAGGTTTAGTAAGGAAATGCAGCAGTCCATGCAACACCCCAATTCTAGGAGTATAAAAACCAAATGGTCAGTGGAGACTAGTGCAAGATCTTAGACTCATCAATGAGGCAGTAATTCCTCTGTATCCAGTTGTACCAAACCCCTATAACCTGCCCTCTCAAATACCAGAGGAAGCAGAATGGTTCACAGTTCTGGACCTCAAGGATGCCTTCTTCTGTATTCCCCTGCACTCTGACTCCCAGTTCCTCTTTGCCTTTGAGGATCTCACAGACCACATATCCCAACTTATGTGGACGGTCTTGCCCCAAGGATTTAGGGATAGCCCTCATCTATTTGGTCAGGCACTGGCCCAAGATTTAGGCCACTTCTCAAGTCCAGGCATTCTGGTCCTTCAACATGTGGATCTTCAACCCATATCTGCCTCTCAGACAGTTTGCAAAAAATAACAAAATCTATCCTTACTCTACAATCCCAAATAGAGTCTTTGGCAGCAGTGACTCTCCAAAACTGCCAAGGCCTAGACCTCCTCAAAGCTGAGAAAGGAGGACTCTGCACCTTCTTAGGGGAAGAGTGTTGTTTTTACACTAACCAGTCAGGGATAGTATGAGATGCCATCTGGCATTTACAGGAAAAGGCTTCTGAAATCAGGCAAATTTCAATTTCTTGCCTTTCAAATTCTTATACCAACCTCTGGAGTTGGGCAACGTGGCTTCTCCCCTTTCTAGTTCTGTGGCAGCCATCTTGCTGTTACTTGCATTTGGACCCTGTATTTTTAACCTTCTTGTCAAATTTGTTTCCTCTAGAATCGAGGCCATCAAGCTACAGATGGTCTTACAAATGGAACCCCAAATGAGTTCAACTAACAAGTTATACCGAGGACCCCTGGACCGACCCACTGGCACTTTTACTGGCCTAGAGAGCTATCCTCTGGAGGACACTACAACTGCAGGACCCCTTCATCGCCCCATCCAGCAGGAAGTAGCTAGAGCGGTCATCAGCCAAATTCCCAACAGCAGTTGGGGTGTCCTGTTTAGACATGGGATTGAGAGGTGACAGCGTGCTGGCAGCCCTCACAGCCCTCGCTCACTCTTGGTGCCTCCTCAGCCTCAGCGTCCACTCTGGCCATGCTTGGGGAGTCTTTCAGCCCACCACTGCACTGTGGGGGACCCTCTCTGGGCTGGTTGAGGCTGAAGACAGCTCCCTCAGCTTGCTGGGAGGTGTGGAGGGAGAGGCATAGGCAGGAACCAGGGCTGCACGTGGTGCTTATGGGTCAGCTAGAGTTCTGGATAGGCGTGGGCTTGGTGGGCCCCTCTCTTGGGGTGAACCCATTTCAGAGCACCCTGCCCTTCACAAAGAAAAGAGAACTCTCCCCGGGGCTCCAGCTGGCTTCTCCGGGATCAGTCACGTTACCACACTGTGGAAGCTTTGTTCTTTCACTCTTTGCAATAAATCTTGCTGCTGCTCACTCTTTGGGTCCACACTGCCTTTATGAGCTGTAACACTCACTGTGAAGTCTGCAGCTTCACTCCTGAAGCCAGCAAGACCATGAAACCACTGAACACATCTGAACATCAGAAGGAACAAACTCCGGACACACCACCTCTAAGAACTGTAACACTCACCGCGAGGGTCCGCAGCTTCATTCTTGAAGTCAGTGAGACCAAGAACTCACCAATTCCAGACAAAATACTATTCATTAATTGATCCATTAATCATCCCAAAGTCCTTTCAGTTGTTGTGAGTACTATTTTACTGATAAAATTGAAAGAATTAGAAGAGAAATTCCAGATCCCTAGCTGCATCTACATACACATGCTCTGCCTTCTTTTTTGTTGCTAAAAATGAACTACCCCTGCAACCATCTAAACCAGGTCATCCACGTGAGCACTGGATTCCATCCCTTCTTTCCTAGTCAAAGATATTATTATAGCAATTCTCTTCCGTCTCTCCTATGTCAACATGTATTTACTAGTTTATTAGCATACAAATGTATAAGTATTCCTTCCACATTACAAAATAACGAGCAAATTTTCCTTCCTCTCATTGCCTGCTTCCTTTTTCTCACTCTGCTGCTTTGCTTTCTGTATAATAGGAAGAAAAAAGAAAACTTCTACTATACTATCAATGCTCTCCATACTTCACTTCTGACACCAGACATGTGTGATTTTTCCCCATGCATCAATCCAATTCAGCAGAAAAAAAAAAACTGGGTTTCCTGTAAGCTAACTAAATTCTGACATTATCTGGAGATGGCATCAGATCCCACACGTTAAGTGGTCAGTCCCACAAGACTGTCCTCCACTTCAGACATCAGTTGCAAGCAGTAGGTCCACAGATTCTGTACAACTTTTGGCCAAGTTGGCTACAAACCAGAGGTTCTTAGATACTCCCTTCTTGAGTTCAGTCATTTGCTAGAGTGGCTCACAGAATTTAGGGAAAACATTTACTTAATAGATCAGCAGTTCATTAAAAAGGATATAAATTAGGAACAGCCAGATGGAAAAGATGCATAAGACAAGGTCCGAGGAAAGGGGCACAGCACTCTGTGCCCTTTCTGAGTGCACCACTCTCCAGGAACTGCCTCCCCAACCATGTCCAGCAATCTGGAAGCACTCTAAACCCAGTAGGTTAGGGATTTTTATGGAGGCTTCATCACATAGGCACAATTAAGCTGAAGAGGAGACTCCTGCTCTTCTCTCCTTCCCAGAGGATGGCAATGATGCTGACAGTTCCAGGCATCTAATCATGGCCTGGTCTTTCTTGTGACCAGCTCAAATCCAGAAGCCCATGAAGGGTCACCTCATTAGAAAAAAAGTAATACACTTCTATTGATATGGTTTGGATATGTGTCCCCTCTAAATTTCATGTTGAAATATAATCCCCAGTATTGAAGGTGGTGCCTGGTGGAAGGTGATTGGGTCATGGAGGCAGATCCCTCATGGCTTAATGTTGTCCTTGTGATAGTGAGTGAGCTCCCATGTGATCTGGTTGTTTAAAGTGTGTGGCTTCTCCCCCACTCTCTCTCTCTTGCTCCTTCTTTCACCATGTGACATTCAAGCTCCTGCCTTGCCTTCAACCATGAGTAAACACTCCCTGAGGCCTCTCCAGAAGCCAAGCAGATGCTTGCACCGTGCTTGTACAGCCTGCAGAACCTTCAGCCAATTAAATCTCTTTTCTTTATAAATTACCCAGTCATAGGTATTTCTTTATAGCAATGCAAGAATGGCCTAACACAGCTATCACCCAGGAAATTCCAAGGGATTAAGAGCTCTGTTTCAGGAACTAGGAATGAAGATCAATATGTGTACTTCTTATTTTAAAGTACAATATCACACTTTCCTGGCACATAATGTCTTGAAAGCATTGTGTTCACCCACTGTCTCCAATTATTCTCTTCCTATCCTCTCTTAAACCCACTCCACTGTGTCTGTGTCTTTTTTTCTTTTTTTTTTTTTTTGAGATGAAGTCTCACTCTGTCACCCAGGCTGCAGTGCAGTGGTGCGATCTCAGCTCACTGCAACCTCTGCACCCCAAGTTCAAGCAATTCACTGCCTCAGCCTCCCAAGTAGCTGGGATTACAGGTGAATGCCACCAAGCCTGGATAATTTTTGTATCTTCAGTAGAGACGGGGTTTCACCATCTTGGCCAGGCTGGTCTTGAACTTCTGATCTCATGATCCACCCACCTCAACCTCCCAAAGGGCTGGGATTACAAGCATTAGCCACTGCGTCCGGCCTCCACTGTGTCTTTTACGGTGAACTTCACCAAATTTACTCCTCTCTAGGTCACCAGTGACATCCACATTGCCCATTTTTGTTTCTCAGTCCTCATGCTCCTTGGCCTCTGGGCAGCATCTGACATGGGTGAGCACTCTTCCTCCTCTATACACTTGGCCAAGCTTCTCCTCCAGTGGAAGAGTCCCCCCTTCTCTGCAACACTTAATCCAGGAAACCCCTTGGCTCTGCCTTTAAAATATATCTAGGATCTGACCACACTCACCATGTCCACTACTAATACCTGGAGTCACCATCATCTCTCTCTAGATTATTGTGTTGACGTCCTAACTAGCCTTTCTGTTTCCACCCTACCACATTAGAATCTCTTCAACACATCACCCAAAGCAATTCCTTTAACATTTAAGTCAGATGATGTCTTTCCGCTCATGATCTTCCAAAGGTTTTCCTTCTACAAGGACTTGCAGGATGTGATTGCCAATTCTTTCCCCTGAAACCCTCTTCTCATGGTTCTGCTCCAGAACATGAGTCATGTTAATTTTCTCAAACATGCTCCCAGGAGGCTCCTTCTCACCTGTGGTGCCACCGTGTGTTATTGCTCACTTCTGCCCCCAAGTCTTCTGTGAATATATCTGCATGGAGAAACAGAAACACACGTAGAACCCCAGCTGCAAGGGAATCTTAATGTTTAATTTGTAGCTGGCCAGCTTCTGAAATGTAGGGAGGCCATCTAGAAGGGGAAAGAAATGGTGCAGAGTAGGCCAATCTGATTGATATGCCACAGGAATCGTATGATAACTAGAGTTTCATGAGAAAGAAAGTTAGTGGAAATTAATCATAATTTACTTCACATTAACACAAGAAAACAGAGAGGCTGCCTTTGGACACAAAAAATCAATAAAATAGCATGCATATATTACAAACAATAAAAATAAGTTTTACCTTTCTGTATTAAGACTTTTTTTCTGTAAGCAACATTTCCAGATTGCTTTCAGGTAACAAATAAAATAGATCATTCCACATAAACTGGCTGTTCATTAATTATACATCAAAAATTTGAATAGTATAATGGATACATCTGTGAGTTATATATGTGAAATGCTAAACTTACTAGGTCCTTTATATATATGTACACTGCTCTTTCATCATTCTCAAAGGTGATTTCTTATTTCAAAATCGCACAAAATTGCAAGAACTTTCTCTGAAGAAAAAAGTTGTGCTTACCTCAGGGTGTGTAACAAAGAGATTCGTAATGACTGGCTCCATGCTACATGCACAACCATAGGTAAATTCTAAGAACTTGGTATCTCTATTCATAAGATTATTCTGATTCACATTTAAATGGAAAGTATATGGTTGTTCACAACAAGGTGCTTGTTTTTCTTAAGCCTTCTTAAGCAAGAAAAGCAAGGTGTGCTTTTCTTACACTTATTGAATGGAAGTGGGCAAAGTATTTTGTATTTTATTCATTTCCTCATGGCGGGTTTTATAGTTCAATAATTCCAAGATCCAACAGTAACATCAAAACACTGACTTGATATTACTTTCTGCTATTACTGCATTTCTTCCACACCACCACACCAGTCTTCCTGGATTCCATTCAATCACTGATGAGACTGCCAACACAGCTCAAAAATGTTTTGCCATTGGATCATTTCCAGGACTGTTGTGGTACTTTCCTTGGAAATAGGTTTGTTTCTCTCTCTAATATTTCTCACACATTTCAGATATCATAATTCACAATACTTTACCTCCAAGTCATTTCAAACATTCCTTTTTCTGGGACCAGCAAAAAAAAATGTAACTAATTTCTCCATCATTTTCTATAGGATAGGCTGGCTGCCTTTTTTGCTGTCCTTTCTTCCTAAATGCTATTTTACTTTATTTTGATAACTTTGTAGCTTCTTACTTTTATAATTTTATTGCTTCTTTATAGTTCATTGAATGAATAAATATTGATATCTATAATGGAGAAACTGAAGTAGATTGCTTCAATGGCTTCATTGAAGAAGAGAGCCTCTAATAAAAATGATAAATTTTTAATCCCAGGATTAGCTTCAGTCTAACAAGTAATGTTCCAAGGAGTTTTCTCTACTTTGTCACCTTTTGACAATAGCTGCTGATTGTTAAAGAAAGCAATTGGCAAATACTTATTATGCATTTACTAAATAACAAAAATATTTTGGATAATAAGAGATGCAAATAACAGTCATAATTTTTGTTGCAAATTATAAATATATAAAACATTAAATTATGCCTTTATATCTTAGTGCTAATTAAAAGTAGAACAACTAAAAGGAATGATATACAATGACCAAGTAAGATTTATCTTAGATAGGCATAGCTAGTTCAGCTTTCAAAAATCAATCACATCAACAGCCTAAAGGAGAAAAATCATATGATCATACCAACTGATGTGGAAAATGCATTTCAAAAAAATTCATCACCCATTCACAACACACACTCTCAGCAAGCTCAAAATGAGGGAGAATTACTTCAACTTAATGAAGAACATCTATAGAAACTATACAGTTTTTAATATATTATGCTTATTGGGAGAAACTGGATACTGTCTTATTAAGGTTAAGAAGAAGTCAAGGATGTCTTCTCTCATCATTCCTATTCAACATTGTACTGAAAGTCCTGGCTAGTATGATAAGATGAGAAAAGGAAATAAAATGAACACAAATTAGGAAGAAAGAAATAAAACTTCCTTTTCACAGATTACATGGTTGTCTGCGTAGAAAATCCCAAAGGATTGACAGGAAAATTCTTGGAATTAATATGCAATTATAGCAAGGTTGTAGGATACAAAGTTCATATACAAAAGTCTATTGCTTCCCTACATACTAGAAATGAACAATTAGAATTTGAAATTGAAAATACAATATCATTTACAATAGCACCCCAAAAATGAATACATCAAAATATAACCAGCAAAATGTTCAGGCTTTTCATGTTGAAAAGTGCAAAACTCTGATGAAGAAAATCAAAGATATCTAAACAAATGCTGAGATATTTCATAGTCATTTATTAGAAAACTTAATATTTTAAGATGTCAATTTCTTCCCAATTTGACCTATAGATTCAAAGAAATCCCAATCAATACCCCAAGTAGCAATTTTGTGCATATTGGCAAACTGATTCTAAAGTTATGCAGAAAGACAAAAGATCTCAAATAACTAACACACTCCTGAAGAAGAACAAAGTTGCAGGACCGACCCTTCTCAACTTCAAGACTTCCTAAGCTACCATAGTCAGAACAGTCTGGTACTGGTGAAAAAATAGGTACATATTAATAAATCACTGAAAAAGAATAGAAAGCCCGGTAACAGATCCACACATGTAGAGCCAACTGGTCTTTCACAAAAGAGTAAAGGCAATTCAAAGAATCATCTTTTCAACAAATGAAGTTGGAACAAAGAAATTTTAGATGCAATACAAAAGTATCATCTGTAAAAGAAAAATGCGGGACTCTATTAAAATTAAAAACATCTTCTTTGTGAAAGACAGAAGAAAATCAAAAGGCAAGCCCCAGTCTGAGTGATAATATTGGCAAACCCATATCTGATAAAGGACTGCAAACTAAAATATACAAAGTACCCTTAAAACTAACATGCAATTATAGCAACATTAAAAAACAAACAACCAGTTAAAAAGCAAGCAAAAGATCTGAATAGACACTTCAATAATGAAGATATACAGATAGCAAATAAGTGTATAAAAAGATGTTCAACATCAGTTATCATTAGAGAATTGCAAATTAAAACGATGATATAACACTACATTTCTATTATTAGAATGGCTAAAGTTCAAAAACCTGACACTACTAAAAGCAGAAAGTTATATATTGTGAGAAATTAGAGACAAATTTCTTACAATTCCCTCTTCCAATAAGTAATCTTTAAGAAGGGGCTGAAGAAGGAACTTATTGATAAAGACTACTTTCCTTGAAATGCTTTAGAAAATCTTTTCTATCTAGGGAACAAAAGTAGATGTGGAATGACTTTGTTATAATGCTGCGTAGAGAACACACACATACACACACAAACACACACAGTCTCTGCATGTCTAATGTGGAAAATAGGATTTAAGCAACATCTTATAGGTAAAAGTGGCAAATAAACAGATACGGCTGAGCTATGAGAAACAAAAAATTATCAGGCCTCCTAAAGCCAAAACTCTCAGAAGACAACATGGCCAGCCATTCAGAATATAAAATGTGACAATGTGCATTATATGGTTATGTGACATGGACAAAGTATCATAAAATCATTTACAGTTCTCCTCTTTTCTTCCTTCTAAGGTATCATCTTCATTCACACTGTCTGGGCCCTTTATTTTCTTAATTAGTCTGAGGAGTAGAGAAAATTGGAATATAAATTTAGTAAGTAGCTTTATATGTTAAAAAGACATGGAACACTAGATAATAATATTATTAAGAATTTCTACTCATCAGAAAAATACTAAGAATAAAAAGGAAGCACATGGAGTAGAAAAAGGTATTAATAACACATATATGCAAAAAATTCTATCCTGAATATGTAAAAACTCTCATGAATCAACAGGAAAGGACACACAAAGCCAGCAAAAATTGGGTAAAAATTTCTGAACAAGGGTGGAGCCAAGATGGCCAAATAGGAACAGCTCCAGTCTACAGCTCCCAGTGTGAGCGACGCGGAAGATGGGTGATTTCTGCATTTCCAACTGAGGTACTGGGTTCATCTCACTGGAGAGTGTCAGACAGTGGGTGCAGGACAATGGGTGCAGCCCACCAAGCATGAGCCAAAGCAGGGTGAGGCATCGCCTCACCCAGGAAGCACAAGTGGTCAGGGAATTCCCTTTCCTAGTCAAAGAAAGGGGTGACAGACAGCACCTGGAAAATTGAGTCACTCCCACCCTAATACTGCAATTTTCCAATGGTCTTAGCAAATGGCACACCAGGAGATTATATCCCACACCTGGCTCAGAGGGTCTTATGCCCAAGGAGCTTCACTCATTGCTAGCACAGCAGTCTGAGATCAAACTACAAGGTGGCAGCAAGGCTGGGGGAGGGGTGCCCGCCATTGCCGAGGCTTGAGTAGGTAAACAAAGCAGCCGGGAAGCTAGAACTGGCTGGAGCCCACCGTAGCCCAAGGAGGCCTGCCTGCCTACCTCTGTAGACTCCACCACTGGGGGCAGGGCATAGCCAAACAAAAGGCAGCAGAAAACGCTGCAGACTTAGATGTCCCTGTCTGACAGCTTTGAAGAGAGTAGTGGTTCTCCCAGCACACAGCTGAAGATCTGAGAATGGACATACTGCCTCCTCAAGTGGGTCCCTGACCCCCGAGTAGTCTAACAGGGAGGCAGCCCCCAGTAGGGGCAGACTGACACCTCACACAGCCTGGTACTCCTCTGAGACAAAACTTCCAGAGGAATGATCAGAGAGCAACATTTGCTGTTCACCAATATCCGCTGTTCTGCAGCCTCTGCTGCTGATACCCAGGCAAACAGGGTCTGGAGTGGACCTCTAGCAAACTCCAACAGACCTGCAGCTGAGGGTCTTGACTGTTAGAAGGAAAACTAATGAACAGAAAGGACATCCACACCAAAACCCCATCTGTACATCACCATCATCAAAGACCAAAGGTAGATAAAACCACAAAGATGGGGAAAAAACAGAGCAGAAAAACTGGAAACTCCAAAATTCAGAGTGCCTCTCCTCCTCCAAAGGAACGCAGCTCCTCACCAGCAATGGAACAAAGCTGGACAGAGAATGACTTTGACGAGTTGAGAGAAGAAGTCTTCAGATGATCAAACTAGTCCGAGCTAAAGAAGGAGTTTCAAACCCATGGCAAAGAAGATAAAAACCTTGAAAAAAAATTAGATGAATGGCTAACTAGAATAACCAATGCAGAGAAGTCCTTAAAGGACCTAAAGGAGCTGAAAACCAAGGCACGAGAACTACATGACAAATGCACAAGCCTCAGTAGTCAATTCAATCAACTGGAAGAAAGGATATCAGTGATGGAAGATCAAATGAATGAAATGAAGCTAGAAGAGAAGTTTAGAGAAAAAAGAATTAAAAAAATGAACAAAACCTCCAAGAAATATGGGACTATGTGAAAAGACCAAATCTACGTCTGATTGGTGTACCTGAAAGTGATGGGGAGAATGGAACCAAGTTGGAAAACACTCTGCAGGATATCATCCAGGAGAACTTCCCCAATCTAACAAGGCAGGCCAATATTCAAATTCAGGAAATACAGAGAAGGCCACAAAGATACTCCTCGAGAAGAGCAACTCCAAGACACATAATTGTCAGATTCACCAAAGTTGAAATGAAGGAAAAAATGTTAAGGGCAGCCAGAGAGAAAAGTCGGGTTACCCACAAAGGGAAGCCCATCAGACTAACAACGGATCTCTCGGCAGAAACTCTACAAGCCAGAAGAGACTGGAGGCCAGTATTCAACATCTTAAAAGAATTTTCAACCCAGAATTTCATATCCAGCCAAACTAAGCTTCATAAGTGAAGGAGAAATAAAATACTTTACAGACAAGCAAATGCTGACAGGTTTTGCCACCACCAGGCCTGCCTTACAAGAGCTCCTGAAGGAAGCACTAAACATGGAAAGGAACAACCAGTACCAGCCACTGCAAAATCATGCAAAATTGTAAAGACCATTGAGGCTAGGAAGAAACTGCATCAACTAACGAGCAAAATAACCAGCTAACATCATAATGACAGGATCAAATTCACACATAACAATATTAACCTTAAATGTAAATGGGCTAAATGCTCCAATTAAAAGACACAGACTGGCAAATTGGATAAAGAGTCAAGACGCATCAGTGTGCTGTATTCAGGAAACCCATCTCACGTGCAGAGACACACATAGGCTCAAAATAAAGGGATGGAGGAAGATCTACCGAGCAAATGGGAAACAAAAAAAGGCAGGGGTTGCAATCTTAGTCTCGGATAAAACAGCCTTTAAATCAACAAAGATCAAAAGAGACAAAGAAGGTCATTACATAATGGTAAAGGGATCAATTCAACAAGAAGAGCTAACTATCCTAAATATATATGCACCCAATACAGGAGCACCCACATTCATAAAGCAAGTCCTTAGAGACCTATAAAGAGACTTAGACTCCCACACAATAATAATAATGGGAGAATTTAACACCCCACTGTCAACATTAGACAGATCATTGAGACAGAAAGTTAACAAGGATATCCAGGAACTGAACTCAGCTCTACACAAAGTGGTAGACATCTACAGAACTCTCCACCCCAAATCAACAGAATGTACATTCTTTTCAGCACCACACCACACCTATTCCAAAATTGACCACATAGTTGGAAGTAAAGCACTCCTCAGCAAATGTAAAAGAGCAGAAATTATAACAAACTATCTCTCAGACCACAGTACAATCAAACTAGAACTCAGGATTAAGAAACTCACTCAAAACCGCTCAACTACATGGAAACTGAACAACCTGCTCCTGAATGACTACTGGGTACATAAAGAAATGAAGGCAGAAATAAAGATGTTCTTTGAAACTAATGAGAACAAAGACACAACATACCAGAAACTCTAGGACACATTCAAAGCAGTGTGTAGAGGGAAATTTATAGCACTAAATGCCTACAAGAGAAAGCAGGAAAGATCTAAAATTGACACCCCAACATCACAATTAAAAGAACTAGAGAAGCACGAGCAAACACATTCAAAAGCTAGCAGAAGGCAAGAAATAACTAAGATCAGAGCAGAACTGAAGGAAACAGAGACACAAAAAACCCTTCAAAAAATCAATGAATCCAGGAGCTGGTTTTTTGAAAAGATCAACAAAATTGATACACCACTAGCAAGACTAATAAAGAAGAAAAGAGAGAAGAATCAAATAGATACAATGAAAAATGATAAAGGAGATACCACCACCGATCCCACAGAAATAGAAACTACCATCAGAGAATACTATAAACACCTCTATGCAAATAAACTAGAAAATCTAGACGAAATGGATAAATTCCTCGACACATACACCCTCCCAAGACTAAACCAGGAAGAAGTTGAATCTCTTAATAGACTAATAACAGGCTCTGAAATTGAGGCAACAATTAATAGCTTACCAACCAAAAAAAGTCCAGGACCAGATGGATTCACAGCCGAATTCTACCAAAGGTACAAGGAGGAATTGGTACCATTCCTTCTGAAACTATTCCAATCAATAGAGAAAGAGGGAATCCTCCCTAACTCATTTTATGAGGCCAGCATCATCCTGAAACCAAAGCCTGGCAGAGACACAACAAAAAAAGAGAATTTTAGACCAATATCCCTGATGAACGTCGATGCAAAAATCCTCAATAAAGTACTGGAAAACCGAATCCAGCAGCACATCAAAAAGCTTATCCACCATGATCAAGTGGGCTTCATCCCTGGGATGCAAGGCTGGTTTAACATATGCAAATCAATAAACGTAACCCAGCATATAAACAGAACCAACGACAAAAACCACATGATTATCTCAATAGATGCAGAAAAGGCCTTTGACGAAATTCAACAACACTTCATGCTAAAAACTCTCAATAAATTAGGTATTGATGGGATGTATCTCAAAATAATAAGAGCTATCTGTGACAAACCCACAGCCAATATCATCCTGAATGGGCAAAAACTGGAAGCATTCCCTTTGAAAACTCATATAAGACAGGGATGCCCTCTCTCACCACTCTTATTCAGCATAGTGTTGGAAGTTCTGGCCAGGGCAGTCAGGCAGGAGAAGGAAATAAATGGTATTCAATTAGGAAAAGAGGAAGTCAAATTGTCCCTGTTTGCAGATGACATGATTGTATATCTAGAAAACCCCATTGTCTCAGGCCAAAATCTCCTTAAGCTGATAAGCAACTTCAGCAAAGTCTCAGCATACAAAATCAATGTGCAAAAATCACAAGCTTTCTTATACACCAATAACAGACAAACAGAGAGCCAAATCATGAGTGAACTCCCATTCACAATTGCTTCAAAGAGAATAAAATACCTAGGAATCCAACTTACAAGGGATGTGAAGGACCTCTTCAAGGAGAACTACAAAACACTGCTCAATGAAATAAAAGAGGATACAAACAAATGGAAGAACATTCCATGCTCGTGGGTAGGAAGAATCAATATCATGAAAATGGCCATACTGACCAAGGTGATTTATAGGTTCAATGCCATCCCCATCAAGCTACCAATGACTTTCTTCACAGAATTGGAAAAAACTACTTTAAAGTTCATATGGAACCAAAAAAGAGCCCGCATTGCCAAGTCAATACTAAGCCAAAAGAACAAAGCTGGAGGCATCATGTTACCTGACTTCAGACCCTATTACAAGGCTACAGTAACCAAAACAGCATGGTACCGGTACCAAAACAGAGATATAGACCAATGGAATAGAACAGAGCCCTCAGAAATAATGCCACATATCTACAACTATCTGATCTTTGACAAACCTGACAAAAACAAGAAATGGGGAAAGGATTCCCTATTTAATAAATGGTACTGGGAAAACTGGCTAGCCATATGTAGAAAGCTGAAACTGGATCCCTTCCTTACACCTTATACAAAAATTAATTCAAGATGGATTAAAGACTTAAATGTTAGACCTAAAACCATAAAAACCCTAGCAGAAAACCTAGGCATTACCATTCAGGACATAGGCATGGGCAAGGACTTCATGTCTAAAGCACCAAAAGCAATGGCAACAAAAGCCAAAATTGACAAATGGGATCTAATTAAGCTAAAGAGCTTCTGCACAGCAAAAGAAACTACCATCAGAGTGAAAAGGCAACCTACAGAATGGGAGAAAATTTTTGCAGTCTACTCATCAGACAAAGGGCTAATATCCAGAATCTACAATGAACTTAAACAAATTTACAAGAAAAAAACAAACAACCCCATCAAAAAGTGGGTGAAGGATATGAACAGACACTTCTCAAAAGAAGACATTTATGCAGCCAAAAGACACATGAAAAAATGCTCATCATCACTGGCCATCACAGAAATGCAAATCAAAACCACAATGAGATACCATCTCACACCAGTTAGAATGGCGATCATTGAAAAGTCAGGAAACAACAGGTGCTGGAGAGGATGTGGAGAAATAGGAACACTTTTACACTGTTGGTGGGACTGTAAACTAGCTCAACCATTGTGGAAGTCAGTGTGGTGATTCCTCAGGGATCTAGAACTAGAAATACCATTTGACCCAGCAATCCCATTACTGGGTATATACCCAAATGACTCTAAATCATGCTGCTATAAAGACACATGCACACGTATGTTTATTGCGGCATTATTCACAATAGCAAAGACTTGGAACCAACCCAAATGTCCAACAATGATAGACTGGATTAAGAAAATGTGGCACATATACACCATGGAATACTATGCAGCCATAAAAAATGATGAGTTCATGTCCTTTGTAGGGACATGGATGAAGCTGGAAACCATCATTATCAGCAAACTATCGCAAGGACCAAAAATCAAACACCGCATGTTCTCACTCATAGGTGGGAATTCAACAATGAGAACACATGGACACAGGAAGGGGAACATCACACACCAGGGCCTGTTTTGGGGTAGGGGGAGGGGGGAGGGATAGCATTAGGAGATATACCTAATATTAAATGAAGAGTTAATGGGTGCAGCACACCAACATGGCACATGTATACATATGTAACAAACCTGCACGTTGTGCACATGTACCTTAATACTTAAAGTAAAATAAAAAAAAATAAAAAATAAAAATAAAATAAATTTTCTTTAAAAAAAGAAAAATTTCTGAACACTTTACAAAAGACAATGCTCAAAAAGCCAACAAAGATAACAAAGATATGAAAAGGTGTTCAACTTCATAGTTCATCTCATAAATGCAAGTTAAAACTACAAAAAGGTTTTATTACATGCTTACCATAATGGTAAAGAGGAAAATAAACAACAACAGAACAAAAATGGAAAATAAGTGTTAATAACATCTTACACACTTATACACTTCTCCTGGGAGAGTAAAATACTACAATCACTTTGTAAAACTTTTTGGCAGTATCTACTAAAGCCACCCATGCTGGGAAGAAAGAGTTCAAGTAGCTGGGTTTTAATTCATTCATTATCCTCACAAATGGAAGCCCTTGGGTGACAGAAAGGCTCTTTAGTCCATCCACTCTAATCTTCATAACTGGACCTCCAAATAAATAGATTAATAATATTTGCTAGGAAGAAGTGACTTTATCTCCAAAATGTCCCTGGCAGGATGTCCTGGTTCAGGATTACCTATGAAAAACAAACCCAAGATATACAAGAAATGGCTCTCATGAGAATGTCATTTAAGTTACATAATTCTTTGACTTCAAAATTTTTTGACTTCCCAATTTAAATGCTCCCGCTGTGTGAAATGGTGCTGCAAACTTAATATAGAGGTCTCATCTTTTATTCTGAGCCAGAAAGACATGTCTCACAGAAGAAAACAGAACCTGGGAAGCCAGCCTCAATGCCCCTATCTTATCTCTGCTTTTTCTGAAATGATTGTTTTCAAATTGAAATTAATTAGTAAAGCTTGCTAAGGTGTAAGATCTCTGATATATTGAGTTTGTTTTGATACTTTTATTCTGTGTCTTAGCTTATATGTACACAATAAGACCCAACAATTCTACTCTTAGGTAAATGCCAAACAAATCATTCACTGTGCTCTGCTAAACCTTGGAATTGTTATATTCATAACAGCACTATTCTTAATGGTCTCGAACTGGAAAATATCAAATGCCAATACAGAAAAATGAATAAATTGTGGTATATTCACACAATGGAATTCTATTCAAGAGTTAATGGCTTCAACTTGTTAATGTGTAAAGACTCAGATATATTACTATGCATGTTTCTATTTATATAAAGCATAATCAATATATGATACAGACAAAATGCAAACTAGATGTTGAGTTATAAAATTCATTGTTGCCTCTGTAACAGGCTTCTGAAGACATGCATATAACCTTCTGTGTTTTTTAAAGTCAGATAATGTATCTGTTCAATGTGACAAAATGTGGAGATGAATGATGAGAACAAAAACATACTAGGATTATAATTGAAAAGGAAAAAAAAACTTGTCAAATAGATAAAAACTTTGGAGATGACAAGTCATCTAATTGTTAATAGTTCTAATGCTTTTTACTTGGCTTTAAGAAAATATCCTTGCATGGAGTTTTAATGAAATATCAAACTGTTATATTTTAGTGGGGTTTTTTTTGGTTAAGAGTATGTAAAAAACTGACTCACATTGCTTTACTGCCACCTGATGGGAAGAACTAAAATTACAGGCACAGGAGATCATTCTTTCACTAGTTCCATCACTAGTTTATACTCATTTATTTTCACTAAAGTTTTGAAAGGTAACACTTATATATAGCTCACATGAATGTATAACTTAGGAAAAAATATTTCACTCCATATTGTCAATTTCTTAATTTTTTTCTAGTGTCATTGAAGAACCTTAAAACATTATCACTTAACTAATAATTCCAAATACATATTCCTACCTTCTGAAATGATGAAATTGGTCATGATGGTGTTGGTAATAATTGTAACACCAAACACCTTAAGCCCCTATTCAAAACATACTATGCTAAACCCTCTAATACAGGACATTTTAACTCAGATTTCAGTAGAATCTAGGAATCCATATGTTTGAATAGGAAAAATTACATCATTATTTTTACTAAACCTTAACTGAAATTTATCATTTCTTCCAGTAGAATTCTATTATTTCCCTCTATAGAAATAACAAATTATTTTCATCATACATTATACTTACAACAACTATCTCTAAAAACTTGTTTATGTTCATTACTACATTGAAACTTTGTTATTTGACTCATGATTAAAACTTGTTAATGTGTAAAGATTCACATATATTACTATTTCACATGATCTTTAATATTTTGATAACTATATTTCAATATAATTGAATATAACTGGTTTTCTCTATAACTCTATATATGATATTTTCCAATTATACCAAAGGCTTCTATGACCCTCCAAAATTAAGAATCCCTGAAATATCTCATTTACTCCTTATAACATCATGTCATTGACATTATCATCCCCATTTTAGAACTAAGGAAAATGAAGCATGTAAAGTTAAATGACTCTCCCAAGTTCACAAGACCAGTAACTCCCAGGGCTAGGATTAGAACCCAAATCCATCTGGCTTCAGAGCAGGATTCCTTAACCACCGGTCTATTGTGGCCTTTGGGAATTTAAAACCTGGGAGAGTGACTTTCACACTTATCTACAGAGGCCTGGGGTTCTTTGTATGTGCTACATTAGATGTAATGGGAAGCAGGAGGAACCATATCACAGGCAGATCAGTCCCTCGTTGATAATTGGAATTCTATTTAAAATTTTGTTTTACAAACATACATCCTCTAATATTTTTTTAAAAAAGAAGTTCCAAACTGTTGCCTAAAATGATAATGGACAAGTCTTAGTCATAAAACATACTTCTAAAAATTAGATATCAGACAGATAATTTCATTATCAGCCATTTCAGTAAGCCAATGCCCCAAATAAATTATTTTACTGGTAATTTGATCCTTCAAAATCTTAATCTGAGAAGCAACTAGGTTTTTACAGATGTAATAGAATATCCCCAGTTCTGACTCCTCAATTTCAACTATAGAACAGAGGAAAAATCACAGTACATCTCAACATTACATCCACCCTATGCATCCCCAACACTAAGCCCCTAAGTTTATTCTATAATTTGTATAAGACTTTAACTTTTTAAAATTTTAAGTTCAAGGGTAAAAGAGCAGATTAGTTACATAGGTAAACTTGTATTATGGGGGTTTGTTGTACAGATTTTTTCATCACCCAGGTATTAATCCTAGTACCCATTAGTTATTTTCCCTGATCCTCTCTCTCTTCCTACCCTCCACCTTCCAGTAGGCCCCCATGTGTGTTGTTCCCCTCTTTGGGTCCATGTGTCCATGTGTTCTCATCATTCAGCTCCCACTTATAAGTGAGAACATGAGATATTTGGTTTTCTGTTCCTGTGTTAGTTTGTTATGGATAACTCCATGTCTATCCATATCCTTGCAAAGGACACAATCTCATTTTTTATGGCTGTGTAGTATTCCATGGGGTATAAGTTCCACATTTTCTTTATCCAGTCTATTGGACTGGGAGATATGCTGAAAATATCTGATGACTGTCAACACGCTAGACATGGCTACAGTATATGTTTAATATACAGTCACTCAACCTCATTTCTACCTTATTTTTGTTATTAAATTAAACTGCTTGGCTTAATTGCTTCCTGTGGAATTTCTGTGTGTTTTCTGGAACAATTTCAAGATTATAGATTAAGCAGAGTTTTAGCTTTATGAGGATATCTTGCATGTTTGGAAATGCTACCTATTCAATTAAGAAGGCTTAAATTGAGGCAAGAAATCTTTTTTTTTAAGCATTTGATTTTTCCTTTCAGAGATCTTATTAGAGTTCACAAGCAGTAGACATGGGTTAGGAAAAAACTGATGAGTCATTTTTAAGGTTCACCCATTTTGTGTTGAGTCAGAAAGAGGTGCAGGAGCTGCCTAGGTCAGAATAAAAAGCAGAAGTTGATCCAGTATCTTTGTTTCTGTCATTAAATATATTACAGTGACCAATAGGTATGTCATTCAGCACTATTAGATTTCCCAGAAAATATTAAACTGATCTTTGAACATTATATTCCAGTGTCCCAGGATATAAAGAAATGAATGAAAAATAACTTGAAACACAGATGCTGCTAGATGAGAGAAAGAATATGATAAAATTGGAGGAAAATAAAACCATAGCTGTGGAGTATGTCTGCCCAAAAATCTTGTGAGTAAAATAGAGCGTCTCTGCACAGACTTTTCACTGATCCTAGATTTCTTAGAACTGCAACAAGGAGAAAAGCCTTCTATAATCCCTGGCTGGCCAGTAGCTTACACATCTGCTTTCAGATGAAGATCTCATTTCCTTGTAATCTCTCCTCTCCACCCCCAAGTCCCTGCAAAGCAACACAAAGAGCATGTAACTGATGTACATGTAGCACTGCATATATTACATGGCACTTTAAGTACAGACTAGTCTTCACAAACTGAACAAATGCTTATTGTATAAACAAAAACTTCATATGGAGTGGATTTGATTACCCTAGTATTCTCTTTTCTTTTATAGATTACCTCTAATCAATAATTACCAACCTTAAGAACGGGTAAATCATTTCTTCTTCCCTCCCCCAACTGCCTGCATTAAAATATCAGACAAATATCAAAGGACAGAAACAATTTAAGCGAACATCCAAGCCACAGTGAGAGGTCCAATAAGTGCCATAGGCATTAGTGATGGACAAAGGAGACAGGCAGGGCCAGAGGCAGAATTGCAGCCATGAGACAAGGAAGCAAAAACTGAAGTTGCTAAAGGGAATATGGCACAGCAGTTCAAGATTTCAAGGAACAATATCTCAGTTCTCTCTACAACATAATCAACATTTTGACCTCTCACATGATCTACCTCACCATCTCGACACTGAAACTTTTTCATCCCCATCTTTCCATTTTCATGTTTCACCAGCATGTGCTCAACACCAAACTGCCACAGAGTAAAATACACACCTTATTCTTTGAAATAAAATCTCTTTGTTTGCTGCGATAGCCCCAGAGCCTAAAACAGTGCCTGGAACACAGTGCATTCTCAATATGTATGTTAAATGAATGAATGTTTTACTAGTCATTCGGCAAAACTTGTTGATTCTCAAAACATTCATATTTATATAGTATATGAACCCCACAACCACATACAAATATGTATTAAATGAATATATGTGTAGGGAAATTTATGTGGATGGCAATGTTAACATAAAGGCTTTCATCCAGGGACTTATAACCTAGATGGAGGGAAGGATACACGTATAACAGGTTAAACCATGCAATTCAGCATGTGATATTTGCAGAAATAAAGTTATATGCTCTTCACATGCTTACAGAGAAAACTATCACAGTTAGAAGAATCCAGAGAGGAAAACTTCATAATAAGAATAACGATAGCCATGCTTATTCAGTTTTTCAGTAAGTGCTTTATGAATATTATCTAAGATAATTCAAATTATTTCCTGCTACCTTACAAAGTACCTACTCCTGTCCATTAGACAGATGAGGAAGCTAAGGTTCAGGCTGCTTAAGGAACTTTTCTCAGGTCACATACCTAGCAAATGTGGACCTGGCATTAAAGCCCATGCTCTTACCTAATATGCTGTACATAAAGAATATAGGCATATGTTTATTTCTAATAATAAAATGATAAGTTTTAATATTTAGTGAGTTCTTCCTATGTGCTATGCACTATAGTAAATGCTTTATATATATTTTATTTAATTCACACAATTCTATGAGGTAAATGCAATCATGATGCCCACTTTACAGCGGAATAAGCTAAGACTTTGAGAGGTTAAGTAATGTGCCTAAGTTTCACAAGTAATGATGAAGCCAGAATATAGGGTGACTTAGCCTAGTTGGAGACCCTGCACACTTAACCAATACACAACAGAGACAAGTCACACATGGCAGGCAGCTTTAGAAATTAAACCATGGAGTGGCAAATAATAGAATTCTACATGAGCATTTAAACCCAACTATATTTTCCACCTCTTTTAAAGAAATGTGAACTCTCTGAAACTTCTGTTTGAATGAAGATAATCTTCTGCAAGGGAAAGTGACTTGGGGCTGTTGAGCAGAGATCTATTCGATACAGAATTCATTGTTGTAAAGAGGTTGTTGCTGCAGAGTTCTGAAATCTGGTCCAAGGTTGGTCACCAGAAGTACCTTCACAGAGCAACATGGATAGCCTTCGAAATGGGTGCTGTAGTCCCTGCTTATCCACAGTTTCAGTTATCCGTGGTCAGCCAGGGTCTGAAAATATGTACAACAAATTATTTTGAGAGAGAAAGACCACCTTCACACAACTTTTATTCCACTATACTATTATAATTGTTCTGCTTTATTATTGATTGTTGTTAATCTCTTACTTTGCCTAATTTATAAATTAAACTCTATCATAGGTATGTATATGTGAAAGGAAAATAAAAACTTGGGACCCCAATTTACTATGCCAAAAGGAAAAAGTTAAGCTGAAAACTGAGTCATGCAAACAATTGCCTTTCCTTTTGTTCCTAAGCAGATAGCTACAGATAAAAGGTTAAATATCTCCACACATACCTACTCTGTGTTCATTGCATCTTATGTAAAATGCCAATTTATTGAGTATGAGATGAAAACATAATTGACTATTACCCTACCTGCTCTTTTTTTCGGACAACATGTGGATTTGGTAACATGACCATGCCCTCCCTTTTTCCCTTCCAGCCCACTTTTTCCCTTTAAATACTGAAGCCCTCAAAATCATCTTTGGAGAAATGCACAGACCTCTCTCCTGGGCATGTACTTAACCTTAACAAAATATAGTTCTAAATTGATTGAGACCTGTCTCAGATACTTCTTTGTTTACATATGAATAGGAAAAAAAACATAGTGTATACTTCAGTACTATCTGGAATTTCAGGCATCCACTGGAGGTCTTGGAACATATCCTCCATGGATAAAGGGAAAGTACTGTACATGTCAGCTAAAGAAGTAAATGTTCCTCTTGTGACATGTACTAGTATGGTCATGTCAGAAATAAAATATTGCAACGAGATGAAATGACAGTCTAGTCAGCATGAAAAGTAGAGCACGAAAAGGCTTTGTGATGACTTCCAGTTCCAAAATAGTGGTGTAGAAACAAGTTGGCTTAACTCCCCCACTCCCCACAGAAAACCAAAAGCAAATATATAGTGCTTAAATTATCGCCAGAAATAACCCAGAACTCAAATATGAGGAGGAAACATTTCCCAGGGTCACAGAGAAATGAAAAAACTCCAAACAGATAATAAGAGAATAAGACTTCCATGTCTGCAATGCCTCTATCCCCAGTCTGCCCAGCACTAAATATGCAGAAAATTTCCCTCTGACTCATGGTTTCTACACTGGAAAAAGTGAGATTGAGGTAAACAGCCAACTTCCCCATCATCTTGGTTTCCCTACCAGAACCTGTGTCTGCCTCAACCTACAAGAAGTATCAGGAGTGCCTGAAGAGAGAAATGTCCCTGAGGACAGCCAGAAACAAACAGGGGTGGCAGGGCAACCATCCCTAGACCTGGAAACTCTGCCCTGTTACTCGGTCAAAGGAGACACCAAATCAGAGTGGCTGTTGAGCAGCAGCATATTACTGCAGGAGGTGATTCCACAGGTCCCCTGGGCACTAATCCCTAGCTAGCCTTCCAACACTACTGGGACATCCTTTTTGGGACCTCCCTCTTTGGGGACAGACAGCACTCTGTTTACTAGAACTGAGGCAAACAAAAAAAATCTCTAAGCATCACATTAAAAATAAAATAAAATAAAACGTGCCAGATAGAGAAGACTGGACAAAATGACTAAGCATTCAATGTAAAGACACTCAAAACAAAAAAAAAGGAAGAAGAAAACAGAAAACCATGTCTTTCCAAACAGGCAAAGGAACCAGTGACTGACTCTAAAAGACTACAATATGTGAACTCTAACCAAGAATTCAAAACAGCAGTTTCAAGTTTGAAGGACACTCAGTGGTCACCAAAATAGCACAGAAAAGCAATTCAGAAATTTATCAGAGAAACTTTTAAAAGAGATTAAAATACATAGTCCAAGGATACAAAAGAAAAAATAAAAAGGAACGAAGATGGCCTATAAAATATACCTAAAAATTACAAAATTATATAATAAGTTACCTTAAATAGCCAAATCTAAGAATTACTGTGTTCAAGAGGGAGTTAAGCAAGAGTAAGGGGAGAGATTGCATTCAAAGAAATAACACAAAACTTTCCAAAACTTGAGAAAGAGGAAAATATCCAGGTACAGGAAGGTCAGAGAATACCAAACAGATTCAACCCAAATAAGACTACCTCAAGGCACATAAAAATTAAACTTTCAAAGGTCAAGAAAAAGAAAGGAGCCTAAAAACAACAAGAAAAAAGAAGTAAATAACATGTAAAGGAGTACCGACTTATCTTACGGAAACCATACAGTCAAGAAGGGAGTAGGACAATATTTTCAAAGTGCTGAAAGAAAAAACCTGCCATCCAAGAATACTGTATCCAGTAAAACTATCCTTCAAATATGAAGGCAAGATAAACTCTTTTCCAGAAAAACAAAACAGAGAATTTTCCATTCTTACAAGATGGCCTTGTAAGACCCATCTTACAAGAAATGATAAAGAAAATTTATTAATCAGTCTAAAAAGAAAAAACACAAACATGCTAAAAGAAAACACTCAAAGGTATAAACCCCCCTGGGTAATATTAAGTACATATACCAACCTAGAATACTCTAATAGTATAAGTATAGTATGCAATCCTTTTATAACTCTAGTGAAACCCAAAAGTCAAGTCTATCTAAAATAATAATAGCTACAGAAACCTTCTAAGAGAAGGCAGTATAAAAATATGCAAAATGAGACAACTAAAAGTCAAAATATCTGGAGGTTAGAGTGAAAGTGTAGAATTCAGGGTTTTGTCTTTGTTTCTGTTCTTTTCTTTGTTATCTAGTATAAGCCATCTCTTTAAAATAACATTTTATATCTATAAGATATTTTTGTAAGCTTTATGGTAAGCACAATGCAAAAATTATATTCACTAAAAGTAATAAACAAAGAATTAAGAGGGAGGAGCAAAGATGGCCAAAAAGGAACAGCTCCTGTCTACAGCTCCCAGCATGAGCGACGCAGAAGATGGGTGATTTCTGCATTTCCATCTGAGGTACCGGGTTCATCTCACTTGGGAGTGCCAGACAGTGGGCACAGGTCAGTGGGTGCGTGCACCGTGTGTGAGCCGAAGCAGGGCAAGGCATTGCCTCACTTGGGAAGTGCAAGGGGTCAGGGAGTTCCCTTTCTGAGTCAAAGAAAGGGGTGACGGACCCACCTGGAAAATCGGGTCACTCCCACCCGAATACTGCGCTTTTCCAACCAGCTTAAAAAACGGCGCACCACGAGATGATATCCCACACCTGGCTCAGAGGGTCCTACACCCACGGAGTCTCATTGATTGCTAGCACAGCAGTCTGAGATCAAACTGCAAGGTGGCAACGAGGCTGGGGGAGGGGCGCCTGCCATTGCCCAGGCTAGCTTAGGTAAACAAAGCAGCCAGGAAGCTCGAACTGGGTGGAGCCCACCACAGCTCAAGGAGGCCTGCCTGCCTCTGTAGGCTCCACCTCTGGGGGCAGGGCACAGACAAACAAAAAGACAGCAGTAACCTCTGCAGACTTAAATGTCCCTGTCTGACAGCTTTGAAGAGAGCAGTAGTTCTCCCAGCATGCAGCTGGAGATCTGAGAACCGGCAGACTGCCTCCTCAAGTGGGTCCCTGACCCCCGAGCAGCATAACTGGGAGGCACCCCACAACAGGGGCACACTGACACCTCACACAGCAGAGTATTCCAACAGACCTGCAGCTGAGGGTCCTGTCTGTTAGAAGGAAAACTAACAAACAGAAAGGACATCCACACCAAAAACCCATCTGTATATCACCATCATCAAAGACCAAAAGTAGATAAAACCACAAAGATGGCGAAAAAACAGAACAGAAAAACTGGAAACTCCAAAAAGCAGAGCGCCTCTCCTCCTCCAAAGAACGCATTTCCTCACCAGCAATGGAACAAAGCTGGATGGAGAATGACTTTGACGAGCTGAGAGAAGAAGGCTTCAGATGATCAAATTACTCTGAGCTACGGGAGGACATTCAAACCAAAGGCAAAGAAGTTGAAAACTTTGAAAAAAATTTAGAAGAATGTATAACGAGAATAACCAATACAGAGAAGTGCTTAAAGGAGCTGATGGACCTGAAAACCAAGGCTTGAGAACTACGTGAAGAATGCAGAAGCCTCAGGAGCCGATGCGATCAACTGGAAGAAAGGGTATCAGCAATGGAAGATGAAATGAATGAAATGAAGCGAGAAGGGAAGTTTAGAGAAAAAAGAATAAAAAGAAATGAGCAAAGCCTCCAAGAAATATGGGACTATGTGAAAAGACCAAATCTACGTCTGATTGGTGTACCTGAAAGTGATGGGGAGAATGGAACCAAGTTGGAAAACACTCTGCAGGATATTATCCAGGAGAACTTCCCCAATCTAGCAAGGAAGGCCAACGTTCAGATTCAGGAAATACAGAGAACGCCACAGAGATACTACTTGAGAAGAGCAACTCCAAGACACATAATTGTCAGATTCACCAAAGTTGAAATGAAGGAAAAAATGTTAAGAGCAGCCAGAGAGAAAGGTGGGGTTACCCTCAAAGGGAAGCCCATCAGACTAACAGCGGATCTCTCGGCAGAAACCCTACAAGCCAGAAGAGAGTGGGGGCCAATATTCAACATTCTTAAAGAAAAGAATTTTCAACCCAGAATTTCATATCCAGCCAAAGTAAGCTTCATAAGCAAAAGAGAAATAAAATCCTTTACAGACAAGCAAATGCTGAGAGATTTTGTCACCACCAGGCCTGCCCTAAAAGAGCTCCTGAAGGAAGCACTAAACATGGAAAGGAACAACCGGTACCAGCCGCTGCAAAATCATGCCAAAATGTAAAGACCATCGAGACTAGGAAGAAACTGCATCAACTAACCAGCAAAATAACCAGCTAACATCATAATGACAGGATCAAATTCACACATAACATATTAACTTTAAATGTAAATGGACTAAATGCTCCAATTAAAAGACACAGACGGGCAAATTGGATAAAGAGTGAAGACCCATCAGTGTGCTGTATTCAGGAAACCCATCTCACATGCAGAGACACACATAGGCTCAAAATAAAAGGATGGAGGAAGATCTACCAAGCAAATGGAAAACAAAAAAAGGCAGGGGTTGCAATCCTAGTCTCTGATAAAACAGACTTTAAACCAACAAAGATCAAAAGAGACAAAGAAGGCCATTACATAATGGTAAAGGGATCAATTAAACAAGAGGAGCTAACTATCCTAAATATATATGCACCCAATACAGGAGCACCCAGATTCATAAAGCAAGTCCTGAGTGACCTACAAAGAGACTTAGACTCCCACACATTAATAATGGGAGACTTTAACACCCCACTGTCAACATTAGACAGATCAACGAGACAGAAAGTCAACAACGATACCCAGGAATTGAACTCAGCTCTGCACCAAGCGGACCTAATAGACATCTACAGAACTCTCCACCCCAAATCAACAGAATATACATTTTTTTCAGCACCGCACCACACCTATTCCAAAATTGACCACATACTTGGAAGTAGAGCTCTCCTCAGCAAATGTAAAAGAACAGAGATTATAACAAACTATCTCTCAGACCACAGTGCAATCAAACTAGAACTCAGGATTAAGAATCTCACTCAAAACGGCTCAACTACATGGAAACTGAACAACCTGCTCCTGAATGACTACTGGGTACATAACGAAATGAAGGCAGAAATAAAGATGTTCTTTGAAACCAACGAGAACAAAGACACAACACACCAGAATCTCTGGGACAAATTCAAAGCAGTGTGTGGAGGGAAATTTATAGCACTAAATGCCCGCAAGAGAAAGCAGGAAAGATCCAAAATTGACACCCTAACACCACAATTAAAAGAACTAGAAAAGCAAGAGCAAACACATTCAAAAGCTAGCAGAAGGCAAGAAATAACTAAAATCAGAGCAGAACTGAAGGAAATAGAGACACAAAAGACCCTTCAAAAAATTAATGAATCCAGGAGCTGGTTTTTTGAAAGGATCAACAAAATTGATAGACCGCTAGCAAGACCAATAAAGAAAAAAAGAGAGAAGAATCAAATAGACGCAATAAAAAATGGTAAAGGGGATATCACCACCGATCCCACAGAAATACAAACTACCATCAGAGAATACTACAAATACCTCTATGCAAATAAACTAGAAAATTTAGAAGAAATGGATAAATTCCTCGACACATACACTCTCCCAAGGCTAAACCAGGAAGAAGTTGAATCTCTGAATAGACCAATAACAGGATCTGAAATTGTGGCAATAATCAATAGCTTACCAACCAAAAAGAGTTCAGGACCAGATGGATTCACAGTCGAATTCTACCAGAGGTGTAAGGAGGAGCTGGTAGCATTCTTTCTGAAACTATTCCAATCAATAGAAAAAGAGGCAATCCTCCCTAACTCATTTTATGAGGCCAGCATCATTCTGATACCAAAGCCGGGCAGAGATACAACCAAAAAAGAGAATTTTAGACCAATATCCTTGATGAACATTGATGCAAAAATCCTCAATAAAATACTGGCAAAACGAATCCAGCAGCACATCAAAAAGCTTATCCACCATGATCAAGTGGGCTTCATCCCTGGGATGCAAGGCTGGTTCAATATATGAAAATCAATAAATGTAATCCAGCATATAAACAGAGCCAAAGACAAAAACCACATGATTGTCTCAATAGATGCAGAAAAAGCCTTTGACAAAATTCAACAACCCTTCATGCTAAAAACTCTCAATAAATTAGGTATTGATCGGATGTATTTCAAAATAATAAGAGCTATCTATGACAAACCCACAGCCAATATCATCCTGAATGGGCAAAAACTGGAAGCATTCCCTTTGAAAACTGGCACAAGACAGGGATGCCCTCTCTCACCACTCCTATTCAACATAGTGTTGGAAGTTCTGGCCAGGGCAATCAGGCAGGAGAAGGAAATAAAGGGTATTCGATTAGGAAAAGAGGAAGTCAAATTGTGCCTGTTTGGAGACGACATGATTGTATATCTAGAAAACCCCATTGTCTCAGCCCAAAATCTCCTTAAGCTGATAAGCAACTTCAGCAAAGTCTCAGGATACAAAATCAATGTACAAAAATCACAAGCATTCTTATACACCAACAACAGACAAACAGAGAGCCAAATCATGAGTGAACTCCCATTCACAATTGCTTCAAAGAGAATAAAATACCTAGGAATCCAACTTACAAGGGATGTGAAGGACCTCTTCAAGGAGAACTACAAAACACTGCTCAAGGAAATAAAAGAGGATACAAACAAATGGAAGAACATTCCATGCTCATGGGTAGGAAGAATCAATATCGTGAAAATGGCCATACTGCCCAAGGTAATTTACAGATTCAATGTTATCCCCATCAAGGTACCAATGACTTTCTTCACAGAATTGGAAAAAACTACTTTAAAGTTCATATGGAACCAAAAAAGAGCCCGCATTGCCAAGTCAATCCTAAGCCAAAAGAACAAAGCTGGAGGCATCACACTACCTGGCTTCAAACTATACTACAAGGCTACAGTAACCAAAACAGCATGGTACTGGTACCAAAACAGAGATATAGATCAATGGAACAGAACAGAGCCCTCAGAAATAATGCCGCATATCTACAACTATCTGATCTTTGACAAACCTGAGAAAAACAAGCAATGGGGAAAGGATTCCCTATTTAATAAATGGTGCTGGGAAAACTGGCTAGCCATATGTAGAAAGCTGAAACTGGATCCCTTCCTTAGACCTTACACAAAAATCAATTCAAGATGGATTAAAGACTTACATGTTAGACCTAAAACCATAAAAACCCTAGAAGAAAACCTAGGCATTACCATTCAGGACATAGGCATGGGCAAGGACTTCATGTCTAAAACACCAAAAGCAATGGCAACAAAAGACAAAATTGACAAATGGGATCTAATTAAACTAAAGAGCTTCTGCACAGCAACAGGAACTACCATCAGAGTGAACAGGCAACCTACAAAATGGGAGAAAATTTTCGCAACCTACTCATCTGACAAAGGGCTAATATCCAGAATCTACAATGAACTCAAACAAATTTACAAGAAAAAAACAAACAACCCCATCAAAAAGTGGGTGAAGGACATGAACAGACACTTCTCAAAAGAAGATATTTATGCAGCCAAAAAACACATGAAAAAATGCTCATCACATAACTGGCCATCAGAGAAATGCAAATCAAAAGCACAATGAGATACCATCTTACACCAGTTAGAATGGCAATCATTAAAAAGTCAGGAAACAACAGGTGCTGGAGAGGATGTGGAGAAATAGGAACACTTACACTGTTGGTGGGACTGTAAACTAGTTCAAGCATTGTGGAAGTCGGTGTGGCGATTCCTCAGAGATCTAGAACTAGAAATACCATTTGACCCAGCCATCCCATTACTGGGTATATACCCAAAGGACTATAAATCATGCTGCTATAAAGACATATGCACACATATGTTTATTGTGGCATTATTCACAATAGCAAAGACTTGGAACCAACCCAAATGTCCAACAATGATAGACTGGATTAAGAAAATGTGGCACATATACACCATGGAATACTATGCAGCCATAAAAAATGATGAGTTCATGTCCTTTGTAGGGACATGGATGAAATTGGAAATCATCATTCTCAGTAAACTATCGCAAGAACAAAAAACCAAACACCACATATTCTCACTCATAGGTGGGAATTGAACAATGAGATCACATGGACACAGGAAGGGGAATATCACACTCTGGGGACTGTTGTGGGGTCGGGGGAGCGGGGAGGGATAGCATTGGGAGATATACCTAATGCTAGATGACAAGTTAGTGGGTGCAGCACACAAGCATGGCACATGTATACATATGTAACTAACCTGCACAATGTGCACATGTACCCTAAAACTTAAAGTATAGTAAAAAAAAAAAAAATTCCAAAATAAATCCAAAAAAAAACAGAAGAAGAAAAAAAGGAAAAAAAAAAAAGAATTAAAACATATTACCCGAGAAAATCGTCTAATCACCAAAGAAGACAGTAAAACAGGAAGAAAAGAGTTACAAGAAAACAAGCAACAAAATGGCAGTAGTAAGTCCTTACTTATCAATAACAAAACTGAATATAAATTGACTCAATTCTCTACTAATTCAAAGGCATATAGTAGCTTAATCAATAAACAAGACTCAGATATATTCTACCTACAAGAAACCTACTTCACCCATAAATGCACACATAGACTGAAAGTGAAGGGGTGGAAAAAGACATTCTATACAACTAGAAACCAAAAAAGAGTAACAGTAGAAGTAGCTATACTCATATCAGATAAAATAGACTACACATCAAAAATTGAAAAAGAGACAAAGAAGGTCACAATATAATGATAAAGGAGTCAATTCAGCAAGAGGATATAAATTATAAATATTCATGCACCCAACACTGGAGGTCCAAATATATAAAGCAAACAGTAATAGATATAAAGAGAGAGATAGACTGCAATACATTAAACTACACATTAGCTCTAATGGGGCTGACAATTATAGAACATTCCACCCAGTAGCTACAAAGTACACATTATTTTCATCAGCACATGGAGCATTTTTTAGAATAGACCATATGTTAGATGGCAAAATAAATAACAAAATCAAAAAAGTAGAAATCCTATCAAGTAAATTTTCTGACCGCTCTGGCATAAAACTAGAAACCAATAACAAGAGGAACCTCAAAAAGTACATAAACAAATGACAATTAAACAGCTTGCTCCTGAATGAGTAATGGATCAATGAAGAAATTAGGAAGGAAGTTTAAAAATTTCTTGAAACAAATCAAAGTAGAAATATAACATACAAAAACCTATGGGATACAGCAAAAACTGTACTAAGAGGGAAGTTTATAACAATAAATGCGTATATTAAAAAAATAGGAAGACTTCAGATAAATTATCTAACCATTTGCTCAAGGGATGAGAATAGCAAGGACTAACCAAACCAAAGTTAGTAGAAGGAAAGAAATAATAAAGATCAGAGCAGAAATAAATGAAACAAAGACTAAAAAACCATATAAAAGATATACCAAACCAAATGTTGGTTTTTTTTGAAAGGATAAGCAAAATCAATAAACCTTAATTAGATTAACTAAAAAAGAAAGAGAGGAGACCCAAATAAATACAATCAGAAATGAAAAAGAAGATGTAACAACTGAGACCACAACAATACAAAGATTCATTAGATACCATTATGAACAACTATATGACAAAAAATTGGAACACTTAGAGGAAATAGATTCCTAAACACATACAATTTTCCAAAATTAAACCATGAAAAAATAGAAAACCTCAACAAACTAATGAGTAATAATATTGAAGCTGTTGTAAAAAGTCTCTCATCAAATAAAAGTTCAGGACCAAATTGGTTCACCATTGAATTCTACCAAACATTTAAAGAAGAAATATTACCAATTCTACTCAAACTCTTTGAAACAATTGAAGAGGAGGAAATACTTCCAAATTCATTCTATGAGGCCAGCCTTACCCTGATATCAAAAGACAAGGATACAATAACTACAACAAAAACCTCAGGCCAATATTTCTGATGAACATAGATGCAAAACTCCCCAACAAAATACTAGCAACTTAATCCAACAACATATTAAAAAGATCATTCCCCATGATCAGGTGGGATTCATTCCAGGAATGCAAGGATGTTTCAACATATGCAAATCAATAAACATGATACATCACATTAACATAACCAAGAACATAAGCCATATAATCATTTCAGCAGATGCTGAAAAAGCATTCAACGCATTTTTCATCCCTATTTGATAAAAATCTTCAACAAATGATACATAGAAGGAACATACCACAACCTATTAAAGGCCACATATAACAAACCCACAGCAAATACCATACTGAATGGAGAGAAATTGAAAGCCTTTCCTTTAAGACCTGGAACAAGACAAGGATGCCCGCTTTTGCTACTTTTATTCAACATAATACTGGAAGTTTTGGTCAGAGCAATTAGGTAAGAAAAAAAAATAAAGGGCATCCAAGTTGGAAAAGAAAAATCAAATTAGCCTTTTTTGTAGACAAAATAATTCCATACTTAGAAAAACCTAAAGACTCCACCAAAAACAAATCATTAAAACTGATAAACAAATTCAGTAAAGTTTCAGGATACAAAATCAACTTACAAAAATCAATAATATTTATGTATGTCAACAGCAAACAATTTAAAAAGAAATCAAGATTGCCAGACACAGTGGCTCATGCCTGTAATCCCAGCACTTTGAGAGGTCAAGACAGGCAGATCATTTGAGATTGAGACCAGCCTGGGCAACACGGTGAAACCACATTCTCTACTGAAAATACAAAAAAAAATAACCAGGTATGGTGGTTCATGCTTGTAATCTCAGCTACTAGGGAGGCTGAGGCAGGACAATCGTTTGAACCTGGGAGATGGAGGTTGCTGTGAGCTAAGATCATGCCATTGCACTCTAACTTGGGCGACAGAGCAAAATTCTGTCTCAAAAAGAAATAAAATCAAGAAAGTAACCTCATAATAGGTACAAAAAATATAAAGTACCTAGGAATCAATTTAACCAAAGAAGAGAATGATCTATACATGAAAATCTATAAAAACACTAATGAAAGAAATTAAGAAGAGCACATGAAAAATGGAAAGATATTTCATGCTTGTGAATTGGAAGAATTAATATTGTTAAAATGACAATACAACCCAAAGCAATTTACAGATTCAATGTAATCTCTAGGAAAATATCAATGACATTCTTCATAGAAATAGGAAAAAAAATTAAAACTTTTATGGAACTGCCAAAGACACCAAATAGCCAAAATAATATGGAACACAACAAAGCTGAAGGAATCACACTACCTTACTTCAAAATATATTATAAGGCTATAGTAATGAAATCAACATGGTGCTGGCATAAAAACAGACACACAGACAAATGGAACAGAAACAGAGTACCCAGTAATAAATCTACATATTTATAGCCAACTCGTTTTTGACAAAGTCCCAAGAACACAGACGAGAAAAAAGACAGTCTCCTCAATAAATGGTGATGAGAAAACTGCATAGCCATATGCATAAAATGAAACTAGACCCTTATCTTTCATTATATAAAAAAATCAAACCAAGATGGTTAAAGACTTACATCTGAGACTTGAACCTATGAAATTATTAGAAGAAAGCATTTTAGGCTTTCCACCCACTTTGGTGAACTTTCACACACATGCCTTGACCTCTCAACATAATATTGACAAAAGATCACCAGAAATGTTACACCAGAGTAGTCTCAGTGTCTTCCACTAATTACTTGGCTTTATATGTATCATGGTATGAACCCTAGAAAAAAAAGATTCCCCCAGATGACCTCTCCCTACATTACGGAAATTTCAGAGTCTTGTGAAACTCTGAAAAACTTTGGGTTCTTTTCCATAAAGGGAGTCTGAGAAAATCTGGGAAAGAATGTGGAACACGGCCCTCAAGGCTTCAAAGTTCTGAGTAGCAGACATGACTTGGGGACACAAATGTTTTTCAAGTCTTCTTCCATTGTAAATATGCTGGTTAATTGTATATGTCAACTTTTTGGGCCACAGTGCTCAGATATTTGGTCAAACAGTATTCTGGATGAGGGTGTTTTTTTAGACAAGATTAACATTTAAATTGTATTTTGAGTAAAGTAAGTTGCCCTCCATAATGTAGTGAGCATTATTCAATTAGTTAAAGGCCTTAATAGACAAGAGTGTCCTTTTCTAACCAAGAAGGAATTGTGCCCCCAGTCAGCCTTCAGACTTGAAATGCAGCTTCCACTTTTCCCTGAATCTCCAGACTGCCACCCTACACCTGAAGATTTTGGACTTGTCAGCCTCCAGTATCACATTAGCCAATTCCCTAAAATAAGTTTCTCTGGATAGATAGATAAGGTAGAGATAAATAGAGATAGAGTTAACGATAGAGACAGACAGATAAATAGATAGATAGATAGATAGATAGATAGATAGATAGATAGATAGACAGATAGATAGATAGATAGGCACATATCCTATTGATTCTATTTTTCTGCAAATCCTTGGCTAATCTACTAAAAAATTCATTATAAATGGAATGAAAGCAATGGAAACAGAATATGTGTGTTTTTTAATAAAAATTTAGGCATTGGAATAATGGACTTTTGGCAAGAGACAAATTGTCTTGTATGAAGTAGAACTAATATATGCTTGACAGGAAGCTTGTTGATATAAATAAGAGAACTCTAAATGAATCAAAGAGGTGAGGGAAGTGTGTGTGTGTGTGTGTGTGTTATATTCCTATTGGTTTTATGTGTGTGCATGTATATTACATATTCCTACTGGTTTTATTAATTAGTACCTGCAGACTGAATTTTCAAATGGTCCTGCTGAGTTTGTCATTTTAGTTCACAATCTGAAAGATATGAGAGGACAGGGTTTTAATCCTACTTCAACTGCTCATTTCACTCAGGTTCCTAATTTCAACTGATGGCTAACTCATTTTCAATCCTCTGTACCCATATTCTTCCTCCTGTGCTGCCATTTCAAGAGCTATCATTTTAATAAATGCATTGTCATCCTCCTATGTTACACTTAACTCCTCAATTTCTCATTTACTGTATCCCATGTTCAGTGGAAGAATTATCATAAAACTAATAATGCTTAACTTTCAGGGCCCCTCACACCCAAGGGTCACTTTCAAAACATTTAGCAGAGCCTTAACAATGATTTTGTGAGATTTGGAAAAATAAAGTATTTTGAAATTCTTTTTTTAAAAAAAGAGTACCAAGAAATCTACTGAGTTTCAGATCTTCATATACATGGTATGCTTCTGCCCCAAATGCAGGCTTTTAATATGTCCATGCATTAACTGACACTGGGTAGGATATTTAATTTATGACCTAGTGAAATTGAGAACTTAGAAATCTTCAATTTCCAAAAGAATGAATCAACATCACAAGATTAATTTATAAGAATCAATGTAAAGCCCTAATATTCATTTAAATTAATCAGTTTGTTGGATACAGACTGGAAAATGAAGGTTTGAGAGCAGCTCAAAAGTCCTAAGATGGTAGCACAATCATACTAGGAGCTAACAGTATGACACAACTGCTATAAACCCAAGGCAAGGGCCCGGTACAGTGGCTGTGCATGTAATCCCAGAGCTTTGGGAGACCCAGGCAGGAGGATCACTTGAGGGCAGTAGTTAAAGGCCAGCCTGGGCAATACAGTGAGATCCCCATCTCTACCGAAAGAAAAAGTGTATTAGTTAGGGTTCTCCAGAGGGACAGAACCAATATATATGAGTCTATTAGGGAGGATTGGCTCACATGATTACAAAGCAAAGTCCCACAATAGGCTGTCTGCATGCTAGGGAAAGAGAAATGCTGGTAGTGTGGCTCAGTCCAAGTCCAAAAGCCTCAAAACTGGGAAAGCCAGCACTGCAGCCTTCAGTTAGGGGCCGACAGCCTGAGAATCCCCAGGAGGCCTTTGGTGCAAGTCCCAGAGTCAAAGGCCAAAGATCCTAGAGTCCGATGACCAAGGACAGGAGAAGAAGCCAAGTGTTTGGCACAGCATGGGTAGAGAGACAACAAGAAGCTTTAGCAAGCTGCTTACCCCAGTTCTTCTGCCTGCTTTGTTCTAGCAGCTCTGGCAGCTGATTAGATTGTGCCCAGCCACACTGAGGGTGAATCTTCCTCTCCCAGTCCACTGACTCAAATGTCAGTCTCCTCTGGCAACATCCTCACAGACACACCCAGAAACAATACTAGCCATCTAGGTATCCCTCAATCCAGTCAAGTTGACGCTTAATATTAACCATCACACCAAGGTAAACTTAGATTACAAACACTATATCCTGATCAAGAAAGATTAAATGTCCCTATTCTTCTTTATGCTTGGCAGATAATAAAATATCAGATTCAATTCTAGTATCTCCAACCTGAGTAGGTGGTTACCACGCAAGGATATCAGGATAATGCGCTAGACAAACTGATAATGCTGAAGAAAGAAAGTCTGTTTAACTTGGATAATACTTGGATAAATGAAGAAGGACACAGGGATTGCATTCAAATTATTGAATAAACATTACATAGACTAGGAAGTAGATGTTTTCTTCACTGCAGAAAACCAAAGTAGAATCAATAAGTAAAACTAAATTAACAAATATGTTCAATAATCAAAATGAGTTGCCTCAATAAATAACTAGTTCCATTTGGCATAAGCAGAAGCTTTAGGGGCTGTAGATTGTATTTTAGTTTCTAGTGTTTTGCTCCTTTCCTGAAAGAAGATTATTTATCCCTACCAAGGGCCATGTGACTTGCAGTATCTCTCTGTGGGTGTGTACTTCCTTGACCCATATGGGGTTTGTCCATGTGAAGTGCTTTGATCAATGATTGTCAGGGCCTGTTTACATGCCAGTTTTTCTGAAACTTTAATGTGTTTACAAATTACCTGAAGATCCTGCTAAAATGAAATTCATATTCAGTAGGTCTAGATTGGGGCCTGAGATGCATTGCAGTATATCTAACAAGCTACCAAATAATGTTGAAGCTGCTAGCTATCGGGACAACTTTGAGTAGCAAGGATTCATACTACAATTAAGGTTTAAGAGGCATCATGACTTTCACATATCTCTCTTGCTTTTTCCCCCTGCCACAAAACCAACAAGTCCTAAATCTATGCTACTTCTTCACCTGGGTCCTAGAATAAGATATGTGGAGCAGGGCCACAGCTATCAATATTAAAATAAACAGGAAATATATGTTTGGGGATTATTTGTTACTTCAGCAAGGCTGACTAATACAAGATCCATCTCTGAGCAGTCTCATAGAAGGCATTCCTGAAATGAGAATGCATGTGGACTTAATTCCATGTGTCTTTAGAAATCTAGAATCTACATTTGTGAATTCTGGCTCATACTACAGGTAAAGATAGTTACACTTCTGCAAACCGTTCATAGATTACAGTTTGAACAGGTTTATGTGCACCAACCATCAGAACCTTAATAAAATATTGGGGCTGACATTTTTCACTCCCATATATCCCATAGCTGATATATTTGAACATTTGAAGGCCTCTTAGCACTTCAAACAGAAAATGCACTTGGGTGAATAGTAATCATGAAGCCTAATTTTCCAACACCATGGAAAGTGCCTTAGGGAAAGGAGGCTGGTGTTTAGTTAGGGGGAAATGCCCCCTCACACTTTTAAATAACATTTTCAGCCAGTTACTAAAGGTTTAGGGTGAGAGACATTCAGGATGTAGCCCTGGGAGAGGGAGGATAAAAATAAGGACTTCAGATGAGATAAGTCATGTTCAGAGTGGTAAAGGAGTAGATTTTAGGTACTCTTGCCACACACAATAAAAGGGTAACTATATGAGATGATGGATATGTTAATTTGCTTAACTATCTATAATGACCATTTCACTATGTGTATATCAAAACATCATGTGGTACACTTTAGACATATACAATAAAAAGTCTTCAGAAGACTTCAGGTCAAAAGTAAGAAGCTCTCCATCCTGTGGCAAAAATCGTGAAATGTTTAGTGTCACATGAGTCTAGGTCTTAGATAAGCAACATAGGTATGAAGTTGAGATGGTAACTGTGGGACTTTACCAGTCTCAAGAGGTTTAGGAATGATTGTCTTAAATACATAGAAAAATTGCCTGAACAAGAGGAAAGCACACCTTCCTCAAGGAAGCCTGAAAGGAAAACTCCCCACATTCAGCTATTCTAAGCTAGCTGACAGACACCCTCATGAGATTACGATTTTGGCAGGATAAAGGAAGAGTTGTTGCCAACGTCATAGCCAAACCATTTAATTAATGTTGTTTTATCTTAATTAAACTTATTATTATAACCATTCACTAAGTGTAGCTTTCCTGTCTTTCCAATATTCTCAGGAGTACTAGAAGAACAAATATGCCAGCCCAGCAATATTCCATGAAATTGATTACCAAGGGAAATCTGTTAAATTGTACTCTAACACAGACGCTTTTCTTGGATTTACTCTTTGAATTTTAGGGTTTGTTTTAAAATTGGTTGGAGCAGTAGTAACACATATTTAGGAAAACAAACCCCGAATGAAGCCCCTACATGAAAACCTATTGATTTAATATTTAATGCATTAATAATCAACTCATCTGGCTCATCAACTTTAGAGGGTGATCATCAGTTATCAGTCTCATGAAATCTTCCATTGCCAACCAAAAATGTTTTATTAATATTTTCCTTTTTCTATGTTGCAAACCCTATAATTTTTAAACAGACTTCTTATATATATCCCTGAGTTGCAATATTGCTGAATGATTATTGACTGTATATCATAAAACCTGAAAAAAATCACCATTTTCTTCTGAAATGTGATGATCTGCATTTTAAAATGTTCTAAGAAACCATATTTTTCAAGTTTATGCAAATTGGTAAACTTCATTATTAAGAATGGCTTTTACTTTACTGTGAACATAACCGTGCACATGCTCTTAATGAGCCATACATTTACATTGGTAGCTGTATTACCCGCTTCATCATCATAAATGAACTTCATATTTCTAGAGCATTTTCCCCCAAAGCTAAAGATATTTTATATGTGTCGTGTTATAAACTAAGAATGCCTAAAAGTTACTTAGCAACAACCATCATCATTGAACTACGCTCAAGTAAATCAAAGCTAGGGGTAATAAGAAAATTATGGTTAAACTTGGTGAATATCCTTACTTATGATAAAGTAAATGCTTTATAAAGTTTAACATCATAGTTCTAGAGTTCATTCATCTTTGTGTTTCTTTGCTTGTTTTTTATTTGAATTTTTTGATTCGTTTACTTAATTAGCACTTAGAGACTTAGTTGTGTAGTAGCCTAGCAAGAGAACAGGAAAAAGAACCTTGAGTTTTCTGTGCATCCTAGGTAATGACTCACCATTTGACTTTGAGCTAAGGTTCCAACCAGCACAACCCTCTACTTGGTCAAGATTACTCCTCCAGAAGAAAAATAATATTTATTTACTTATCTAGAGAGCAACAATTTTTAATTAATGTTTTTAAAGAGCTTTTGACCTCCTTAAACATGTACTAGCCTTTGTGTAATGATCTCTATTTTTGGTTTGGTCATTATTTTTTGAATCACATTTAAAATGACTTCCAAAAAAGATATTGGAATAAAATGTTAGGTAAATTAAAATTAAAAGAAGACTACTCATTTTTAATGTTAGACTATGTTACATTGCACATAAGGGAGAGATGCTCTGTGACCTTCAATGAAGACATAATAGAAACCTAAGAATTCCACCCATTTGAAAAGAGAATATGGCTATCACCTTGGCATTTCTGTAGAGCATTGCTCTCTGTGACAAGAATTTTATCATTACCAAATCAACAACAGAAACAACTGAGTCCCAAGGTATTTTTAAATGCACACAGCTACTACCAATTAGCTAAAATCTGTCATGAAGTTTAGTCTTAACTATTGCTGCTTCCCTGTGAGAATTTAAGAATTGAAACAAATTCCTTATCCTACAAATTCATGATGTGAGCATTGGTTTTGGACCTCATGTCCCAAAATGTAAACCCATCATTTTAAAAGACTGGTTTCCCTAAAATTATGCCTTCCTCATTTTTTCCATTTCAAAGGCAATATCTACCTCAAAAAATTTTATCTCTAAACCTCATGTAATTACTACTTCATGTTTTATTGTCTTAAATAGCTTGTCTTTTATATCTTTCTAAATGTTATGAAACACAAGCACAAACTGAAATTACAAATAAAACATGCAGCTTTAATTTTAAATATATGTATTTATATAAGTAATATTAAAGGCAGCATAGCCTCAGCTACTCCACCAGAGTGCTTTTGCCAGTGGCTACCACCATAGCACTTTCTCCAGAGACTTCCACCCACTCCCACCAGAGTGTGTTTGCCTGCGACTCTGCAACCTCCCTACCACCGTGCTTGTCATCTGCAAGGCCCCTGTTGCCCCTGCCAGAGCAATTTTTTCACACAGTGCCTCTGCCACCCCTGATAGACCACTGTTGCCAGTGGTCTGGCAGGACCTTGGCCCCTCCATCCCAGCTGGGGCTAAACCTCGAGAGACAAGAACACAAAGCCATGGGCCTGGTCCCAGCCACCCAGGGTTAGAGCATACAGCCTAGGAGTGCAGAGCTAAGCCTTGGCCCTCTGAAAGCATCCAGAAACAAAAGTATTCAACTATACCCAACTTGTACCACAGTCAAATATTTAAGGGGAATAAAGAACATAAAAACAAAAAGCCCTATCCAAAGAACAGTAACTTCAAAGGATAAAGGAACATCAACCCACACAAATGAGAAAGAACCAGTGCAAGAACTCTGACAACTCTAAAATCCAAAGTGTCTTCTTACCTTCAAATGATCACACTAGCTCCCCAGCAATTGTTCTTAACCAGATTGAAATGTCTGAAAATTCAGACATATAATGCAGAATCTGGATGGCCAGGTAGTTCATCAAGATATAAGAGAAAGTTAAAACCCAATCTGAGGAAAACAGTAAAATGACCCAAAAGTTGAAAGATGACATAACCTTTTGAAGAAAGAACAAAACTGAGTTCTGGAAATGAAAAATTTACTCCAGAAATTTTTAAATATAATTGGAAGAATTAACAGCATAATAGACCAAGCTGATGAAAGAATCTCAGAAGCTGAAGTCCACTCCTTTGAAGCAACACAAGCAGAAAAAAAAAGTACAATTTTAAAAAACGAATAAAACCTATGAGAAAAATGGGACTGTGTAAAGAGGTAAAAAGACCAAATCTATGACCCATCAGCATTCCTGAAAGACAATGAGAGAGAACAAACAACTTGGAAAACATATCTGAGAATACAGTTCACAAAAATTTTCTCAATTTCACTAGAGAAAACTTGCTGATATGGATTGGCTCTGTGTCCCCACCCAAATCTCATCTTATAGTTCCCATAATTTCCTTGTGTTGTGGGAGGGAGCCAGTGAGAGATGATTGAATCATGGGGGCCGTGCTGTTCTCGTGATAGTGAATGGGTCTCATGAGATCTGATGGTTTCAAAGAATGGGAGTTTCTCTGCACAAGCTCTCTTTGCGTGCTGCCATTTCACATAAGATATGACTTGCTCCTCCTCGCCTTTAATCATGGTTATGAGGCCCCCCCCAGCCATGTGGATCTGTAAGTCCAATCAAACCTCTTTCTGCATGAAAATGGACTAATACACATGCAAATGCAGGAAATGTGTGTGTGTATATATATATATATATATATGCACACACATACACACACCGGGGGTCTATTGGGGTCTCTCTCTCTCTCTCTCTCTCTCTTTCTCTCTCTCTCTATATATATATATATATAAAATATGTATATAATATACACTATATATAATATGTATATAATATACACTATATATATTATATGTATATAATATACACTATATATATTATATGTATATAATATATATACATATATCTCTCTATTTATATATGTATACACAATCCAGAAACAAAAGTATTCAACTACACCCAACTTGTACCACAGTCAAACACTCGAGGGCAATAAAGAACGTAAAAACAAAAAGTCCTATCCAAAGGACAGTAACTTCAAAGAATAAAGGAACATCAGCCCTCAAAAATGAGATAGAACTAGTCCAAGAACTCTGACAACTCTAAAAATCAAAGTGTCCTCTTACCTTCAAGTGATCACACTAGCTCCTCAGCAATGGTTCTTAACCAGATTGAAATGGCTGAAATACACACACATACCCCCAATGTTGGAGCACCCAGATTCATAAAACAAATTCTTACAGATCTACAAGGACATTAGACAATCACAAAATAACAATGGGGGACTTCAACATCCCACTGACAGCATTAGACAGATTATTGAGGCAGAAAACTAACCAAAAATATCTAGGACTTAAACTGTACAATTGATGAATCAGACTTGAAAGACATCTACAGAACACTCCATCCAAACACAACAGAATATGCATTCTTATCTGCACATGCACGCACTCTAAGATTAACCACATGCTCAGCCATAAAGCAAGTCTCAACAAATTCAAAAATATTAAAATCATACCAATCACACTCTTTGACCACAGAACAATAAAATAGAAATCAATACCAAGAAGATCTGTCAAAACCATACAATTACATGGAAGTTAAACAACTTGGTCCTGAATGACTTTTGGGTAAAGAATAAAATTAAGGCACAAATCAAAAAAATTATTTGAACCTAATGAAAACGGAGACATAACATACCAGAATCCTTGAGACACAGCAAAAGCAGTATTAAGAGGAAAGTTTATAGCACTAAATATCTACCTCAAGAAGTTAGAAAAATCCTAAATTAACAACCTAATGTTATGCCTAGAGGAACTAGAAAAACAAGAGCAAACCAACCACAAAGATAGTAGACAAAAAGAAATAATCAAAATTAGAGCTGAACCAAATGAAACTGAGATACAAAAATGCATACAAAAAAATCCGCAAAACCAAAAGTTGTTTTTTGAAAGATTAAACTAGGTATATAGACTGCTAGCTAGATTAGTAAAGAAAAAAGAGAGAAGATCCAAATAAACACAATCAGAAATGACAAAGGGGTCAATGCAATCAACCCCACAGAAATACAAAAAAAAAACAAAAAAACAAAAAATAACAACAACCTTAGAGACTAATATGAAATACAAACTATAAAACCTAGAAGAAAAGGGTAAATGCCTGGAAACACACAGCCTCCCAAGATTGAACCAGGAAGAAAATGAAATCCTGAACAGACCAATAATGAGCTATAAAATTAATCAGTTACAAAAGGCCTACCAAAAAAAAAAAAAAGTCCTGGACCAGATGGGTTCACAGACAAATTCTACCAGGTGTAAAAAAAAAAAAAAAAAAAGAGCTAGTACCAATCTTACTGAAATTATTCCAAAAAAAGTCAAGGAGGTGGGACTCCTCAGCTCATTCTATGAAAATAGCAACATTCTGATACCAAAACCTGTCAGAGACACAGTGGAAAAAAACAAAACTGTTGGTCACTATTCCAGATAAATATAGATGCAAAATTTCTAAACAAAACAATAGCAAACTGAATCCAGCAGCACAAAAAAAAACGTTAATTCACCATGACCAAGTAGGCTTTTGGTTCAACATATACAAATCAATAAATGTGATTCACCACACAAACAGAATTAAAATTTAAAAAACCACATAATTATCTCAAGACATGTAGAAATGGCTTTTGGTAAAATTCAATGTCCCTTCATGGTAAAAACTCTCAACAAATCAGGCATTGAAGGAACATACCTCAAAATAGTTAGAGCCATATATAACAAAGCCACAGCCAACACTGCACTGAACAGGCAAAAGCTGGAAGCATTTCCCTTGAGAACTGGAATAAGACAAGTATGTCCATTCTCATTACTCCTGTTCAACATAGTACTGGAATTCCCTGCTAGAGCACTCAAGTGAGAGAAAGAAATAAAAACTATCTAAATAGGAAGGGAGGCTGTCAAACTATCTCTGTTTGCAGACAGTATGATTTCTACGCCTAGAAAAACCCCATAGACTCCACCGGAAGACATCTAGATCTGATAAATGACAAAAATCTATAAACCTGAACCTTGTAAAGTTTCAGGATACAAAATCAATGTACAAAAATCAGTAGCGAAGATGGCCAAATAGGAACAGCTCCGGTCTACAGCTCCCAGCGTGAGCGACGCAGAAGACGGGTGATTTCTGCATTTCCATCTGAGGTACCGGGTTCATCTCACTAGGGAGTGCCAGACAGTGGGCGCAGGCCAGTGGGTGCGCACACTGTGGGCGAGCCAAAGCAGGGCGAGGCATTGCCTCACCTGAGAAGTGCAAGGGGTCAGGGAGTTCCCTTTCCGAGTCAAAGAAAGGGGTAATGGACGCACCTGGAAAATCGGGTCACTCCCACCCGAATATTGTGCTTTTCAGACCGGCTTAAAAAACGGCGCACCACGAGACTATATCCCACACCTGGCTCAGAGGGTCCTACGCCCATGGAATCTCGCTGATTGCTAGCACAGCAGTCTGAGATCAAACTGCAAGGCGGCAGCGAGGCTGGGGGAGGGGCGCCCGCCATTGCCCAGGCTTGCTTAGGTAAACAAAGCAGCCCAGAAGTTCCAACTGGGTGGAGCCCACCACAGCTCAAGGAGGCCTGCCTGCCTCTGTAGGCTCCACCTCTGGGGGCAGGGCACAGAAAAACAAAAAGACACCAGTAACCTCGGCAGACTTAAGTGTCCCTGTCTGACAGCTTGGAAGAGAGCAGTGGTTCTCCCAGCACGCAGCTGGAGATCTGAGAACTGGCAGACTGCCTCCTCAAGTGGGTCCCTGACCCCTGACCCCCGAGCAGCCTAACTGGGAGGCACCCCCCAGCAGGGGCACACTGACACCTCACACGGCAGGGTATTCCAACAGACCTGCAGCTGAGGGTCCTGTCTGTTAGAAGGAAAACTAACAAACAGAAAGGACATCCACACCGAAAACCCAACTGTACATCACCATCATCAAAGACCAAACGTAGATAAAACCACAAAGATGGGGAAAAAACAGAACAGAAAAACTGGAAACTCTAAAACGCAGAGCGCCTCTCCTCCTCCAAAGGAACGCAGTTCCTCACCAGCAACGGAACAAAGCTGGATGGAGAATGACTTTGACGAGCTGAGAGAAGAAGGCTTCAGACGATCAAATTACTCTGAGCTACGGGAGGACATTCAAACCAAAGGCAAAGAAGTTGAAAACTTTGAAAAAAATTTAGAAGAATGTATAACTAGAATAACCAATACAGAGAAGTGCTTAAAGGAGCTGATGGAGCTGAAAACCAAGGCTCGAGAACTATGTGAAGAATGCAGAAGCCTCAGGAGCCGATGCGATCAACTGGAAGAAAGGGCATCAGCAATGGAAGATGAAATGAATGAAATGAAGCGAGAAGGGAAGTTTAGAGAAAAAAGAATAAAAAGAAATGAGCAAAGCCTCCAAGAAATATGGGACTATGTGAAAAGACCAAATCTACGTCTGATAGGTGTACCTGAAAGTGATGTGGAGAATGGAACCAAGTTGGAAAAGACTCTGCAGGATATTATCCAGGAGAACTTCCCCAATCTAGCAAGGAAGGCCAACGTTCAGATTCAGGAAATACAGAGAACGCCACAAAGATACTCCTCGAGAAGAGCAACTCCAAGACACATAATTGTCAGATTCACCAAAGTTGAAATGAAGGAAAAAATGTTAAGGGCAGCCAGAGAGAAAGGTGGGGTTACCCTCAAAGGGAAGCCCATCAGACTAACAGCGAATCTCTCAGCAGAAACCCTACAAGCCAGAAGAGAGTGGGGGCCAATATTCAACATTCTTAAAGAAAAGAATTTTCAACCCAGAATTTCATATCCAGCCAAACTAAGCTTCATAAGTGAAGGAGAAATAAAATACTTTATAGACAAGCAAATGCTGAGAGATTTTGTCACCACCAGGCCTGCCCTAAAAGAGCTCCTGAAGGAAGCGCTAAACATGGAAAGGAACAACCAGTACCAGCCGCTGCAAAATCATGCCAAAATGTAAAGACCATCGAGACTAGGAAGAAACTGTATCAACTAACGAGCAAAATCACCAGCTAACATCATAATGACAGGATCAAATTCACACATAACAATATTAACTTTAAATATAAATGGACTAAATTCTCCAATTAAAAGACACAGACTGGCAAGTTGGATAAAGAGTCAAGACCCATCAGTGTGCTGCATTCAGGAAACCCATCTCATGTGCAGAGTCACACATAGGCTCAAAATAAAAGGATGGAGGAAGATCTGCCAAGCCAATGGAAAACAAAAAAAGGCAGGGGTTGCAATCCTAGTCTCTGATAAAACAGACTTTAAACCAACAAGGATCAAAAGAGACAAAGAAGGCCATTACATAATGGTAAAGGGATCAATTCAACAAGAGGAGCTAACTACCCTAAATATTTGTGCACCCAATACAGGAGCACCCAGATTCATAAAGCAAGTCCTGAGTGACCTACAAAGAGACTTAGACTCCCACACATTAATAATGGGAGACTTTAACACCCCACTGTCAACATTAGACAGATCAACGAGACAGAAAGTCAACAACGATACCCAGGAATTGAACTCAGCTCTGCACCAAGCGGACCTAATAGACATCTACAGAACTCTCCACCCCAAATCAACAGAATATACATTTTTTTCAGCACCGCACCACACCTATTCCAAAATTGACCACATAGTTGGAAGTAAAGCTCTCCTCAGCAAATGTAAAAGAACAGAAATTATAACAAACTATCTCTCAGACCACAGTGCAATCAAACTAGAACTCAGGATTAAGAATCTCACTCAAAGCCGCTCAACTACATGGAAACTGAACAACCTGCTCCTGAATGACTACTGGGTAAATAACAAAATGAAGGCAGAAATAAAGATGTTCTTTGAAACCAATGAGAACAAAGACACAACATACCAGAATCTCTGGGACGCATTCAAAGCAGTGTGTAGAGGGAAATTTATAGCACTAAATGCCTACCAGAGAAAGCAGGAAAGATCCAAAATTGATACCCTAACATCACAATTAAAAGAACTAGAAAAGCAAGTGCAAACACATTCAAAAGCTAGCAGAAGGCAAGAAATAACTAAAATCAGAGCAGAACTGAAGGAAATAGAGACACATAAAACCCTTCAAAAAATCAATGAATCCAGGAGCTGGTTTTTTGAAAGGATCAACAAAATTGATAGACCGCTAGCAAGACTAATAAAGAAAAAAAGAGAGAAGAATCAAATAGACAAAATAAAAAATGATAAAGTGGATATCACCACCGATCCCACAGAAATACAAACTACCATCAGAGAATACTACAAACACCTCTACGCAAATAAACTAGAAAATCTAGAAGAAATGGATACATTCCTCGACACATACACTCTCCCAAGACTAAACCAGGAAGAAGTTGAATCTCTGAATAGAGCAATAACAGGAGCTGAAATTGTGGCAATAATCAATAGCTTACCAACCAAAAAGAGTCCAGGACCAGATGGATTCACAGCCGAATTCTACCAGAGGTACAAGGAGGAATTGGTACCATTCCTTCTGAAACTATTCCAATCAATAGAAAAAGAGGGAATCCTCCCTAACTCATTTTATGAGGCCAGCATCATTCTGATACCAAAGCCGGGCAGAGACACAACCAAAAAAGAGCATTTTAAACCAATATCCTTGATGAACATTGATGCAAAAATCCTCAATAAAATACTGGCAAAATGAATCCAGCAGCACATCAAAAAGCTTATCCACCATGATCAAGTGGGCTTCATCCCTGGGATGCAAGGCTGGTTCAATATACGCAAATCAATAAATGTAATCCAGCATATAAACAGAGCCAAAGACAAAAACCACATGATTATCTCAATAGATGCAGAAAAAGCCTTTGACAAAATTCAACAACCCTTCATGCTAAAAACTCTCAATAAATTAGGTATTGATGGGACGTATTTCAAAATAATAAGAGCTATCTATGACAAACCCACAGCCAATATCATCCTGAATGGGCAAAAACTGGAAGCATTCCCTTTGAAAACTGGCACAAGACAGGGATGCCCTCTCTCACCGCTCCTATTCAACATAGTGTTGGAAGTTCTGGCCAGGGCAATCAGGCAGGAGAAGGAAATAAAGGGTATTCGATTAGGAAAAGAGGAAGTCAAATTGTCCCTGTTTGCAGACGACATGATTGTTTATCTAGAAAACCCCATCATCTCAGCCCAAAATCTCCTTAAGCTGATAAGCAACTTCAGCAAAGTCTCAGGATACAAAATCAATGTACAAAAATCACAAGCATTCTTATACACCAACAACAGACAAACAGAGAGCCAAATCATGAGTGAACTCCCATTCACAATTGCTTCAAAGAGAATAAAATACCTAGGAATCCAACTTACAAGGGATGTGAAGGACCTCTTCAAGGAGAACTACAAAACACTGCTCAAGGAAATAAAAGAGGACACAAATAAATGGAAGAACATTCCAGGCTCATGGGTAGGAAGAATCAATATCGTGAAAATGGCCATACTGCCCAAGGTAATTTACAGATTCAATGCCATCCCCATCAAGGTACCAATGACTTTCTTCACAGAATTGGAAAAAACTACTTTAAAGTTCATATGGAACCAAAAAAGAGCCCGCATCGCCAAGTCAATCCTAAGCCAAAAGAACAAAGCTGGAGGCATCACGCTACCTGACTTCAAACTATACTACAAGGCTACAGTAACCAAAACAGCATGGTACTGGTACCAAAACAGAGATATAGATCAATGGAACAGAACAGAGCCCTCAGAAATAACGCCGCATACCTACAACTATCTGATCTTTGACAAACCTGAGAAAAACAAGCAATGGGGAAAGGATTCCCTATTTAATAAATGGTGCTGGGAAAACTGGCTAGCCATATGTAGAAAGCTGAAACTGGATCCCTTCCTTACACCTTATACAAAAATCAATTCAAGATGGATTAAAGATTTAAACGTTAGACCTAAAACCATAAAAACCCTAGCAGAAAACCTAGGCATTACCATTCAGGACATAGGCGTTGGCAAGGACTTCATGTCCAAAACACCAAAAGCAATGGCAACAAAAGCCAAAATTGACAAATGGGATCTAATTAAACTCAGGAGCTTCTGCACAGCAAAAGAAACTACCATCAGAGTGAACAGGCAACCTACAACATGGGAGAAAATTTTCGCAACCTACTCATCTGACAAAGGGCTAATATCCAGAATCTACAATGAACTCAAATAAATTTACAAGAAAAAAACAAACAACCCCATCAAAAAGTGGGCGAAGGACATGAACAGACACTTCTCAAAAGAAGACATTTATGCAGCCAAAAAACACATGAAAAAATGCTCATCATCACTGGCCATCAGAGAAATGCAAATCAAAACCACTATGAGATATCATCTCACACCAGTTAGAATGGCAATCATTAAAAAGTCAGGAAACAACAGGTGCTGGAGAGGATGTGGAGAAATAGGAACACTTTTACACTGTTGGTGGGACTGTAAACTAGTTCAACCATTGTGGAAGTCAGTGTGGCGATTCCTCAGGGATCTAGAACTAGAAATACCATTTGACCCAGCCATCCCATTACTGGGTATATACCCAAATGACTCTAAATCATGCTGCTATAAAGACACATGCACACGTATGTTTATTGCGGCATTATTCACAATAGCAAAGACTTGGAACCAACCCAAATGTCCAACAATGATAGACTGGATTAAGAAAATGTGGCACATATACACCATGGAATACTAGGCAGCCATAAAAAATGATGAGTTCATGTCCTTTGTAGGGACATGGATGAAGCTGGAAACCATCATTCTCAGCAAACTATGGCAAGGACAAAAAACCAAACACCGCATGTTCTCACTCATAGGTGGGAATTGAACAATGAGATCACATGGACACAGGAAGGGGAATATCACACTCTGGGGACTGTGGTGGGGTGGGGGGAGTGGGGAGGGATAGCATTGGGAGATATACCTAATGCTAGATGACGAGTTAGTGGGTGCAGCGCACCAGCATGGCACATGTATACATATGTAACTAACCTGCACAATGTGCACATGTACCCTAAAACTTAAAGTATAATTTAAAAAAAAAAGTCAGCTTAATCAGCTCTTTACAATGTTTATATAATTTAAAGGGAACTCAAAGAACATCTCACTCAACATCTTACTTTACAGAATAAGAATTGAGCCTCAAATATAGTCAATATTTTCCCCAATGTCACAGAATCAGGGTTTCTGAACCCACTAAAGCAAGTTGGCTTTCCTAGCATGTCCGAGAAGTCAAGAGAAGAAAATCTGTAGTCTTAGCTATGAAGCGCTGTGAGCAAGAATCACCGGAGTGCTACTTTTAAAAAACATAACCTGTTCCACCAATGTGATTACAGATGGTCTGAGAACATCTCAGATTTACCCAGATTCAAGGCAGTAGACCTTCCAAAACAGGCAAAGCCTTCTAAATCAATTCAGGGAATAAAGCCAGACATGCATACTCCCTAAGAAAAAATACTTACATACAAGCATCTTTTCTAACTAAAAAGAATATTCATCAATTGATTTGAATATGAAAATAGGTTTTTAATAAAAATTTACTCTAAGAATAAGGCAAAAAAAAAAATCAGTAGCATTTCTATACACCAATAACAACCAAGTCAAGAGCCAAATCAAGAATAAAATGCCTAGGAATACATTTTACCAAGGAGGTGAAAAATCTCTACAACAAGAATTACAAAACATTGCTGAAAGAAATCAGAGACAATACAAACAAACGGAAAAACATCCCATGTTCATGGATAGGAAGAGTCAATATTGTTAAAATGGCCACTCTGTTCAAACCAATTTATAGATTCAATGCTATTCCTATCAAACTACCAATGTCACTTTTCACAGAAGTAGAAAAAAACTATTCTAAAATTCATATGGAACCAAAAAGGAGCCCAAATCACCCAAACAATCCTAAGCAAAAAGTACAAAGCCAGAGATATCTCACTACTGAACTTCAAAGTATACTACAAGACAACAGTAACCAAAACAGGCTACAGGTATGACAACAGACACATAGAGCAATGGAACAGAATTAGGAACCCAGAAATTAAGCCACTTACCTACAACTACCTGATCTTCAACAAAATTGATAATAACAAACAATGAGAGAAATAATTCACTAGTCAGTAAACAGTGAATTTATTGAAATGTTATATCAACAGGCTAGCATATGCAGATTGGAACAGTTCCCTTTCCTTTTATCATATACAAAAATTAGCTTAAAGACCTAAAACAACAAAAAACCCTAGAAGAAAATGTAAGAAATACCATCATAGACATCATCCTTGGCAAATAATTTATGACTAAGTCTCCAAAAGTGGTTGCAACAAAACAATAATTGACAAGCGAAACCTAATCCAACTAGTTTCTGCACAGAAAAATAAACTATCGGCACATTAAACAGACAACCTACAGAGTGGGTGAAAATGTCCACAAACTATGTAACCAACAAATGTCTAATATCTGGAACCTATAAGAAACTTAATTCAACAAACAAAAAACCAACAACCCCATTAAAAAATGGGCAAAGGACATGAACAGACACTTCTAAAAAGAAGACATACATGCAGCAAACAAATATATGAAAAAATGCTCATCATTACTAATCATTAGAGAAATGCAGATCAAAACCACAAGATACCACCTCACATCAGTCAGAATAGCAATTATTAAAAGTCAAAAAGCAACAGATGCTGGTGAAGTTGTGGAGAAAAGTGTACACTTATACACTGTTGGTGAGAATGTAAATTAGTTCAGCCACTGTAGAAAGCAGTTTAGAGATTTCTCAAAGAACTTAAAACTACCATTCAGCCCAGCCATCCTACTACTGGGTATATACCCAAAAGAGAATAAATTGTTCTATCAAAAAGACACACACATTCGTATGTTCATCACAGCACTATTTACAATAGCAAAGATTTGAAATCAACCTGGCTTCCTATCAATAGTGGACTGGATAAAGAAAAAGTGGTACACATACACTATAAAATACTCCACAGCCATAAATAAGAACAAAATCATGTTCTTTTCAGCAACATGAACGTATCTGGAAGCCATAATTCTAAGCAAACACAGAAACAGAAAACCAAGTACTGCATGTTCTCACTTATAAGTGGGAGTTAAACATTGAATACACATGGACACAAAGATGAGAACAATAGACACTGGGAATTACTTAAGAGGGGAGGTTATAAGGGGGACATGGTTTGGAAGGCTATTGACTACTATGCTCACTACCTGGGTAATAGGATCATTTATACACCAAGCCTCAGAGACATGCACTTTATCCATGTAACAAACCTATACATGTACCACTGCAATGCAAAATAAAAATAGAAGAAGAAAAAAATAGTAAAAATCATTTGGAGAAAAAATATTAATAATACTAAAAATTAATTAGAAAATAATTCTATTGCTTAAGTCAACTAGACAATACCTGCAATTTACTAGTCTTAATCTGCAAATTATACATGCCCATGGTTTTTATTATACTGTTTTCAAATGATGTTTAATTATGAAATACATTAAATATACGTAAAAATAAAGAGAAAAATAACAGGAGATATGTATGTACTCACTTCCCAAAGCCAGAAAATATTAATATTCTATCATAATTTCCCAGTCAGATTTTCTCCCTGCCTTCTGAGAAGTTGCCACCACTGTGAAGTTGTTATACAGCCTTACCATCTATATACTTACGTTTGCATAAACAATAGAAAGCAGATGATGGCAAATTATAACCTGTGTGCCAAATCCAGCCATGGCCTGTTTCATATGGCCCATAAGTCAGCATAGATTTATATTTTTAAAATCTTGAAACAAAGAATAATCTATGTGGGCTGCAAAGCCCAAAACATTATCAGGCCCTCTATGGGATACTTTATTGATCCCTGATACTGAGTGTTATTTTATCTGTTATCAAAATTTATATAAATGGTCTCATAATAAAAAAGCCTTACGTAACTTTCCATTTTTCACTCAACATTGTTTTTGAGAATTATCAATGTTGATACCTGTAGGTCTAATTCATTTTTACAAACTGCTGCATAGTTAAAATACCAATGGAATAGTCACAATTTATTGTATAATGTGCCTATCAATAGACATTTAGGTTGTGTACAATATTTGTCCATTAAAAATAAATCTGTGATAAATATCCTCATACACATCTCCTTGTGCTCATGTGCCAGATTTCTTCCCTTGTATGTACCTAGAAGTAGCATTGCTAGCTATAAAATATACACATCTTCAGCTTTGCTCAAGGTTGTCAAATTGCTATTCAAGATAGCTTTGTTGATTTCATTATCACCAGAAATGTATGATTGTTCTTACTCACATACTTGGTATTATCACTTGTTTAATTTTTGTCATAGATATCCTCTTGTTCTTCTGTTTGCATTTTTCTGATTAACAGTGTTAATTTGATTAAAGCTATCAATTTACTGATTCTTGGGCTCCAAATCCGCCCTTCTTTGTCCTGTTCTGTCATACTGGAACAAGACTCCATAAACATCTGTCCTTTTATGTTAGTCCCTGTCAACAGAGGCCACTGAATGAAGTGCAAAACCATAGCATAAAGGGGTTTCCTTTCCCCAATCCATAGTGCTTTTCCTGTTCAGCATAGTAGCCGACAAATTGATGTGCAAGAGGCCTGGTAGCAAATCCACCTCAGCGGTATGCATGGTCCTTCTCCAACATGCCCATGCCCTCTGGCAAGTTTCTCAGCCAACTGGCTGGAGGCACCTATGGGCCAATTCCAGCCCATGCCTTCTGGTGAGTTTCTTCTTCCCACTGGTAGATTTAGGGGAGGGGGATACCAGAGTATTCTAAATTCTTAATTCCTTTCTTGTTTATTCCCCTGCAGCCTAGAAGTAGTAGCTATTTTCTGTATTTGTTACTTCTGTATCCTTAAGGGTCCTTTTTAACTTCTTTTAGTAGTTAACCACTTTTTACTAGTTAATTCTTTACGTTAAAGTTTTCCTGTTAAAATTATTGGTATTGTTATTGTCTCCTGAGTGGATCCTGACTGGAACAATCAGTGAGGCTGAACATATTTTCATGTGTTTATTCAGCCTTCTTCCCCAAATCATAGGTAAGGAGGTGGAAGAATGGATTGATTCATGGATGGATGGATGGATGGATGGATGGATGGATAGATGGATGGATGGCAAGATTAGATAGATGATATACATGATGATAGATGATAGACAGATGATAGATAGATAGATAGATAGATAGATAGATAGATAGATAGATAGAGATATCCTTCTTTTAATGAAGGTGTAGATTTTGTTTATGTGTTTTGGATTCTAAACCTTTATCAGATCTATTCCTAGCAAATATCTTCTCCAAAACCTGTGACTTTCTTCACACTCAATGATGTCTTCTGTCACAAAGAAATTAAGCAGTATTTTCATTTGTGGTTTGTACATTTGTGTCTTATTTAAGAAAGTTTTCATTATTCTGATGTTATAAAGATTATCTTCTATTTTTCTCATGGAAGCTTTAGAATTTTGGTTTTCTTAATATTTGCATTTAATACATCTGGAATTTTTGTGTAAATAAAGTATAAGCTGGGAATATTATTTTACTGTTTTCCATAAAAACAGTGATTTTATCTGAGCACCATATATGTAATAGTCAACTTTTCTCCACTAATTTATAGTGAAAACTTATCCTTCTACAAGTTTTATAAACATGGAACTTTTTCTGGATTTTTTATCCTATTCAATTTGGCCTATTAACCTAATCTAGTACCAGTATTCACTGTTTTAATTATAATAGTTTTATAAGTATTGAAATCTGGTGGGGCAAATATATACTCCATTTCCTTTTTTTCTTCGCCTTTAAGTTTGTCTTGACTGATCTTTGCCCTTCACTCTTTCATTCTTCATAAGTTCTAAGAAAAGCACTTTTAGATTTATTAGAATAGTATTGAATTTATTAATAAATTTGGGCAAAATAGAAACATTTTCTATGTTGTCTTTCTACCCACAACACTGTATGTATTTCTCTCCATTTACTTAGGTTTATCTTCAGTAAAGATATAAGATTTCCTCAAAAAAAAAAGAATGACTTTTGTGATATTTATTTCTAGATATATAGATTTTTTTCTCTATTAAATGAGTTTCTAAAATCACATATTCTAATTGATTTTAATGGTATATATAAATGATATTGATTTTTGTGTAATGATTGTAATATTCAGCAAAGTTACTGATCTAAATTCTAATAGTCTGCCTGTAGATTCTCTTGGATTTTCTATGTTGTCAGTCACATCATCTGTGACATTTTGCTTTACATTATATTTCGCATAGAATATTGGAACATTCCTAAAGACTAAGGTAGTTAACCGTGAAAATGGAATTCACTAAGTACTAAGGAAATATTCATGTTCACATCTACTCTAAAAAGAAAAGTTTTAGAAATGAAGTTTAGCAGCATTGAGAGCCCTCGTGTGGAAGCAAGTCAAGTAAAGCTTCTATTTACATTTTGTTTTTGTTTTTTTTTTTAACTAGATCAGCTCAGACATCAACTGATTTAATCACCCTTGTCAGCTTCTAATTAAACTGACAACTTCTGAAACTTAATTTACCTATGTTTTAACAGAGTAGCAGGTTGCTGTGGCATTGGCTAATTGTACTTAATCAAATATATAGAAAGAGAATACTTCCTTTTTTCTTATTTATCAGTGTCTCTAAATCTCTATCTAAAGGCAACTAAAGAAAGATTTCAAAAATGGTCACCCAGACCAAAATAAAGGAATTCGAAATTATCAATAGACACATAAAAATCAACTTCATTAGTAATGAAAAATGAAAAGGATTTTTACCCATATAAAATTGTTATAGGATTTTGGTTTGGGTGTTGGTTTTGGTTTTTTTTTTGAGGAGAAAGAAAAATAAGAGTGTGTGTGTGCGTGTGTGTGTGTGTGTGTGTGTGTGTGTGTGGTTTGGATGTAAGAAAGATGTATTTTCATAGATTTCCAATAAGACATATAAATTGGTGAGCAATTTTGCAATATTTACAAAAAAATCTTTAAATCATAAATGCCGTTTGACTAAAGAATTTTCAATGTAACCTTTATTTTAAAGAATGAGTCACATCTGTGGTAAAAATGGAGATAAAAGGAGATTGATTATGGCATTATAGTGAGAGAAATTACACATCTAATAAAAAAGAGAATGTGTTAAATAAATTGTGATACATTCATATGACAAATTCCATCTAGCCATTTAAAACCATATTGTAGAATATTATTTGATGAACTAGAAATAATTTTCCTGAAATATTGGTGAAGTCTAAAAACCCAAATGTATAGTACAATTTCAATTTCAAACTACATGTACATAATAAGAATAATAGCTTTTACTTATGATGTGACAGGCATACATGTGTATACATTTATTTAATCTTTACAACAATCCTATTTGCTACTATTTTCACCATTTTATAGATCAAGCAACCAAGGCAGAGGGAAATTCAGTAATTTGCCTAAAATTAGACAGTAAATGGCAAAGCTGGACACATACATGCACAGCTTTATGCCAGAAAATAATACAATAGTTATCTTTGAGCAATGGGATTATGGGTTATTTTTATTTACATATCTGTGTATGTTTTGTCTTCTCCAAACTTCCTGAAATGAGCAGATATTAACAAATCCAAAAAATTATATAACTGTTAAGATAAATATTAATGTTTCTTGTGATAGCAGAAGGAAAAATGCCTACTTAATCATAAGTAAGGCGAAGGCGTATTAATCTTCTACATGTGTATATTTTTGTACCAAATTCTGGACACTTAGCCCAGGTTCCCTATTGATATGTATTTTGTTGTGCAGATTAGTTCTGCAAAAACGAAAGCAAAAAAACAGTAAGCCATCCCCATGTAGCAGCTTTATTCCCACTGTCAGATATGTTTGATGCTGGGGAAAAACTTCCCACCCCTCATACCTTGAAAATAACTGATGTCAGGCTCCATCTCTGCTGTGTACACTCATTACCCTTAGCGAGAAATCACTGGGCTCTGTAAGAAAAAAATATTGCCCCATTAAACAAAGTGTCATCATTGAAGAGCAATTATTCTTTTTTATTTTTCCAGTGAGGTTATCTTAATAACTCACTCATAACAGTTATCTCCTAGGAAACATCTAGTTCATGGAGTAAGACTGTTAAACAATATGAATCTGGTACAAATAGCACAGGACAAATGTTTCCAACCATGAAGCATTTATATTTATTAAAAATCAATACAAGGCAAAGACCACTGCAAGCTACTGCCTATTGTTGGTGGAAAATTAAATTATTCTTACTTTTTGTGGGCTTTTTACTCCTCCATATGCAGCTTGTCATACTAGAAATTATATTTCATCATACCCTAGAAAGCTAAGTAAAAGCTAATTGGCAAACCGAAATTTTTATTTGTTGAGACCCAAGATTTGTGAGAAATCAGGGTAATTAGGCAATCATCATTTTAGTATCACCAGACTATAATTCTGTATTGGAGGTGGAGGAATCCCCTTTATTGCTTTTCCTCCAACATGAGATGTGAGGAAAAATTTCTAAGGACAATTACAATGAAATCTTCATAAAACATGAATTCTTTTTGCCATGAGGATTTCCCACACACATGCATGCATAACTGCCCACAGGATGGATCACTGGCTGAAGGTACTTAGGCCCAAAACCATCTACACTCTTGTTCTTACGTTGTTTTCTGCTTAATTACCATTTGCCTGTAGTATAAACCTACCGACAGAATTATCATGAAGGCCAAACACAAATTCATATCATTTGGGGCAGAGCAAAAAGAAAACACTAATGGAAACATTTACCAAAACTTGCCACCTGACACACCCTGAGCATAAGGCTCAGTGCATAAAGCTTGAAATAATTTATGCTGGAAACTTGTAAAGTCACTACATTTTGTTTTTCAATCCAGTGCTAGTCTTCCATTTCATTTTCAAGGAAAAGGTGTTCTTTTCTTCAATCTTGAAAAAGAAAGGAGTGAAATGTCATACAAAGCAAAATAAATATCTAGGTTGCTTATTAATACCTTGTTCAAGGTGGTTATTATATTTTCCAGAGTAAGGTTGTATTTCATTTCTTAATTTTTTATTCATGTTAAAATTAAGACTTGCTTTAATTATCATAGTTATCTATTGCTGTGTAACAAATTAATCCCAATATGTAGTGTCTTAAAACAACAAAATTTAATATCTTCATAGCTTCTGTGGGTCAGGAAACCAGATGCAATTTAGCTGCATTCCCTGCTTCAGTGTTGGCTCACAGGCTGCAATCAAAGCGTTGGCTGGCTGCAGTCATCTTAAGGCACTTCTGGGGAAGAACCACTTCCAAGTTCATTTATGTGGTTGATGGTAGGATTTAATCCTTGTAGGTTGTTGGACTGAGGGGTTTAGTTCCTTGCTGGCTGTTGGTTAGAGGCCGCCCTTATTTCTTGCCACATGGGTCTCTCCCACATGGTAACTTGCTTCATCAAAGTGAGAAAGCCAAGAAAGCAAGAGAGTCTTCTAGCAAGAGAGAGCATCCTACAAAGATGAAAGTTGAAGTCTTTGGTAACTTAATCATGGAAGTTAAGTCCCATCACTTTTGATGTATTCTGTTCTTTAGAAACAAGTCACAAGGTCCAACCCACACTAAAGAGGAGAGGATTACACAAAGGCATGAACACCATCTTAGAAGTCTGCCTACCACACACAGTAACACATTGGAAATTAGAAGCATACTCAGATTGAGAAGTATTACAAACCAAATCTTTATTTGTCTTGTTTCCAATCTTAAAGTAACTTTTATCAACGGTATACAGTGATTCTAAGATATTACACAGAGAGAGAGAAAGAGATTAACTTGGAATTTAGAGTTCTAAAATAAGAGCAGAATAAAGCTGTTTTAAAATTTTTTAATGACACTTAGGATAGAAATAGCAGCTGTCTGACGTTTATAACTGCTTCCCTCTCTCTGCCCCAGCCAGGTACGGTCATCAACTGGTTCAGGGGGTGTAGTCACACTGTGATTGATCTCCTTGGTTGCCCCATCATAGTTGCTTCCCAAATTCTCAGAACTTTACATTCCCCAGGGTACAAGGCAACTCCATGATGGGGATGAGGTGAGAGAGTAAGGATGTGGGCCTGAGTCTTTTTATGGCCAACCCTAAAGAGTTTTTAAATCTCTTCTCCAAGTGGAAAAGGCTCCTGGTCTATTTTTTTTTCCAGTCTGTTGTTCTGTGGAATAGTGGAAACCACAGAGTGGAATCTGATAACCTTTCTTTCACAAATATGGACCCCAGTATTCTTAATCAAGGGTTTGAGGTTTGTTTATTAAGTGGTTTGTTTTGGAATTCAAAACCACAATTTTGTTTTTTGAATTACTGTATCTGCTTTGAATTCAAACAATCCATGTAGGGCTTCAAGTGACTTCTTTGTTCTGACATCTGTGGGTGCTCACCTGCGGCAAAGTCCACACCATGGTCAAGAAAATTAAAAAAAAAAAAACTGCCATCAGTACATTTTTTAAATCTGGCACATAGGTTTTGGTTTGAAATGTTAAGATCATTTTTAAACTCTCCAAGTGATTCTGATTCACAGCCATGCTTGGGAATCCCTGATTTTCAGCACCTATTCTGTAGCTAGTGTAGTGGGTAGACATTTGGGTTCAGATCAGTGTCACTAGCTGAGTAACACTGGGCAAGTTATTGCTTTAAGCCTTAATTTTCTCATCTGTAAAATAAAATTATTTTATGTAACTTATACATAACATCTGTTATTAGAAGTGAATATGATAACACTTATAAAGCTTTTATCTCAATGCCTGAAACATTGTAAACACATAATAAGGTGAGCTGTGTTAATAATTACAGCCATGCATTAAAACATAATAAACATGAAATATTGGTCATCACTGAATCTATTCAAGTACATAATATATCCCTGTCAACTTTCCAGGTTTATTTTTAGGATATTTTCTTAGATTGTTTTGAGGATATATGTCATAGCACATTTTAAATTAATCAAGTACCACATAAATATAAGGGCATATTTTAATTTTATTCTTTCATTCATTTGAGTGCTGTTCTGGGCACTGGAGACACAGCAGTGAACCAGACACACAGGCCACTGACCACAGAAAGATTGCACACTAATGTGGGCAATGGACAATAGATATAAAGCATTTATAATATGATGTCATTAGTGATCATTTAAGCCAGGCAGGGAGACATACAATTGTGAAGTTGGGAATGGAAGGCATTTACTTTAGAGGGGATGGGCAAGATGGGTCTTTCAAGGAAGACAACAACTGAGCAGAGATTAAAGAAAATAAGGGAGTGAGTGATGGGAAATTCCGGGGTGGGGAAAGCTTTCTAGATGAGGGAACCACAGGGCAAATGCCCCTGAAGAACAATGTGAACCTACTTAAAAGACATCATGGGGGCAAATCAGGGCCCACGGAGCAAGAGCAGAGAGTGGTGAGAGGAAAGGCCATGCACCACACTGTGGGACATGGTAAAAAATTTGAATCTTTCCTAAGAGCACAAGAAGACCATTAAAGAGACTTTATGACAAGCCAAATAATCTGATTTACATTTGTATTGTAGCAAATAAATATAACATAAAATTTAGCATGTTAACCATTTTAAGTGTACAATTCAGTGGCATTAAGTAAGGTCACAATGTGGGACAATCAACATCACTATTTTCAGAACATTTTCACTATTCCAAACAGAAGCTCAGACCCATTGAACAATGACTCTCCATCCTTCCCTCTCTTCGCACCGGTTACCACTAATCTACTTTCTAGCTCTATGACTGCCTATTCTAGGCACCGCAGATAAGTGAAATCATTCAACAACTGTCCTTTTGTGTCTGACTTAGCACAATGTTTCAAGTTTTATCTATGTTACATTATGAATCAGAATTTCAATTTACATTTTTAAAAGATGATTCTTGCTGTTGCCGTTATGCTAAGAACACATAGTACAAGAGTCAAAACCGAGAGAATGAGACAGAATGCTGTAACCTGGTGAGATGGCACCAGAAGCAATGAGGAGAAAGGACCAAATTTGGGATCTGTCTACCTATCTACCTATGTATCTACCTCTCTCTCTCTCTTTCTCTCTCTCTCTCTGTGTGTGTGTGTGTGTGTGTGTGTGTGTGTGTGTGTGTGTTCATGTGTATGTGTCTTGGATGGCCAACAGTAATGCATCTGGCCCAGGCTGTAGGCAAAGTTGTGATTGATTTTCAGTGAACTTCCTCCACCTTGTACTGCTGTAACAGCCCCTTAAGCTGAAATCACAGACATCTGTAACCATCTGCTAAAGCCCAAGAAGCAAGTATTAATGCGAATTTTTTTAATGTTATCAGGAAGAGCAGCCACTTTGGAAAAGGTGTGGAACCTTCTAAGATGGCTGCTTTGTAGGACAATACGCAACAGGATGTTTACTTCAGGGTTTTGTTTAAAACACCAATCTCCTTTCTTTATTTAGACAGAATTTATGGCACAAACCCTTCTCTGTTCACCTCCCAATGAGCACTTCCTTGTTCACTTAGATGTCCAGCATTCTGACACTCATTGTGAGTGGTTAAAAAACTGTAAGACATGGTCTTTTCCCTTTAATCTAGTTTGGGGTATAAAGCATGCACAGCATGAGTCAATGAGAAAATAATTTATGACCAATTTAATATTAAACACAAAACATTGAACTATAAACCAGGAGACCCTGTGGTTTATGCCAAAGTGTGGTTAAAGTAACAGTATGTTGCAATCAATTATTAGTTTCATTCAAAGTAAACTCGATTTTGACAGATTATATTTTCTAAAGATGACTGCAGCAATACCTCCTATCCCATAAGCTCTTTGAGAATCGCCAATGACTATCCAGAGGTAGCATTTACATCCCTGCCCTTAAACCTGGGCAGGCTTTTGAGACTGCCTCAACCAATAAGTAGGACAGAGTGACACTATATGATTTCTGAAGCAAGGTCATAAAAGTGCCGTGTATTTTGGCCTTGTTTCCCTGGGTTGTATCCTCTTGGAAACAAGTTATGAAGAAACCCAAGCAGCCTGTAGAGAGGCCCACATAGAAAAAAAGCAAGACCTCTACCCACCAAGCCCCCAGCCTCCAGCCAGCAACCCCAGCCCTGGCTGAGCTTCCAGCAAGCAGCCAGCACTACTTTGCATCGATGGATGTGAGTGATCCCTCTTTGAAGTGGACCCTCTCGCGCCCCCACTGAAACACTACTACTGACATTGGACCCACCTCTCCAAGTCATGTCCAACTTGCAGATTCGTGAGAAAAATAAATGTCTTTTTTAACCCACTAAATTTTGGCTAGTTTGTTTCTCAGCAATAGGTCACTAGAACACCCCATCATGACAAACTTCACTTTTACTTGTATTCAGCTAGGCGTTCTTAAATAGGAGAGAAAAGGATGAAGTTACATTAACATCCTAGAAAATGAACATAACCCATAACCTGTCTTAATTAGGCCCAGTTTCACTAACAGTAATTGTTACCAGTGTGCCATTTATAGTTATTCAATACACATAAAATGATTATACAAATACTATGTAACAAAATAAGTTTGCAGATCCAGAAAATGCCTCTATAGTTTTGTCAAAATCTGAGTGGTCTTGAATGTTAATAATATCCATCTTGCTGAACAGAAAGAATAGACTTTTTGTGCCAAAAGCGTTTGGAGAAGGGGGAAATGAATAAGAGTTGGGGTAGGAAGACATCCTTGGTCCTTTGGCTATGGTTGAAGAAAGAGTGACATTTGGCAATTGACAAGGTTCAGTGTATAGCAAATAAGGGAAATAACACACACAGATAGATACCACATGTTGGGATACAGGCCCAGTTTCTTTTATGGACCAATTTAACTAGAACAGAGGAGAGATCTTAAGAAGGAGTAAATGAAAAAGTGATGCCAACTTGCTGACAAAGCTACAATGTAAAATCCTTTAGCATTGGTTTTAAATCTACATGGCAGCTTTCAGTAATTGCTGACGATTTTCCTATTGTATTTACATGCATTAATTAGGAATCCAAATAAATCTCTTTTTCATGGATTCTTCTCTCACTCTGTTTCTGAGACAAGCAACAGAACACCTTTTATTAAAAGGAATTTAACTTTATTTTTCTCAAACAGCTCCTCAGAAGTTAAATATATATATCTTAGTTATGCTTCTTCTTTTGCAAATAAATTCAATATTTCTGTAAGACAAAGAGATTCATGGTACAAATTAAATTCTCAGTTGTCTCAGTATTTCTTATTAATCCTAATAGCTTGAGTAAAAGCCATTGACAACTGTACGTGTCAGCTGATAGGCAGTTTCAAAACTGCAGGAATGTAGCCCCAGTTTAGGTGAAGTCAACCTACCTGTGTCTTCCACCACCATTTCAGAATCCTATTCCCATGCTTTAGTATTTACATATTCATTAATTCACCCATTAATTAATATGTTCTAAGCACTCTTCCAGTCTCTAATGTCTATGGCTAGGGAGTCTCCAGGCGCACTTTCAAGCACTTAAGTCTCCGAAACAATGACTTGTCCGACTCTGGAAACAGATAGCACTTCCCAAGGTCATTGAGGTAGCCTGATAAATAGCTCTCCTCTTACTGTGCAAATTTTAAATCAAATAAGATTGTCGGTTGCAAAATATCACTCAGATAAAACTGGGTTGATGGATGTAGTTTATGTCTGTGGACAAGTGACTTTCCCACAAACTGAATCCCAGAAATCAACAGACATAACCTGTGTTGAACCAAAGATAGCTTCCTGTTCCTGACCCTGAAATTGGCAGAGCATCTCTGTAGGGGAAAAGAATGGAATGTGCTCCTTTCTCCTAATGATAAGGAAGCAAAAGGGTTAGAGCTACATATGCCCAGTTTCTCTCTTCAGATTCCCAAACAGGATAGGAATGTCAACAGAGGTCAGAAGTCTTATTGCAAGAGAATCGCTTGCACACAGAGCAGGAATGGGCAAATTATGGTCCACTTTAGGCCATAAAATGGGTCACTTTATGAAAAATTTGGCCCACTCCATGTTTTTGCACAGCCCACAAAATTAGAATGGTTTTTACATTTTTTAATGGTTGAAAACAATCAAAAGAAGAAGATTTCATGACACATGAACATTATATGAAATTCAAATTCCAGTGCCCATAAATAAAATTTTATGAGAACACAGCCATACTCATTTGTTTACATATTGTTTATGGCTACTTTCTCACTACAATGACTGAGATGAGTAGTTATCACAAAGACCCTATGGCTCACAAAGCCTAAAATATTTGCTATTTGACCCTTTACAGAAAAAGTTTGCTGAAACCTACATAAAAGAAACACCTGGGTTGAGGAAGAAGCATTCTCCCTGGGATTATTCTGGAGACAGAATCTCCCTTTATCGTTTTGTCTTTGTTGTAGGACCACCATTCTCTCAGCTCCCTACCCCTCGCCCTCACTCAAAACCAGGCAGGAACTTTATGACTTTCTTTAACCCCTTATTTAATTAATTATAATTTGTTTTCTGTTTATTTGTTCCTTAAAAAGTCTTCAAATCACACCAGGATCCCAATAACAATTTTCCAATTAGTTAATTTTCTTCTTCTTTTTCTTTTTTTGAGACTGGGTCTCACTCTAGCCCAGGCTGGGGTGCAGAGGCGCGATCAAGGCTCACTGCAGCCTTGAACTCCTGGGCTCAAGGGATCCTGCCATCTCAGCCTCCCGCTATTAGACGTCTTAATTCTCATATCTCTATAGTCTTTTAGAATTGAAAATAACTTTTGAGAGTTTCTGTTCAATCCCATCATTAGCAAAATGAGGAAACCTGTAACTTTGTGAGGCAAATGACTTTCTCCAGTTTGTAAATCCCATTTTTGATCAACTAGAACTAGACTCTCTCCCAAAAAATAGCTCAGTGATTCTTTGGTCATACTCATAGCATACTCTCTCCATATTGTATGCATTATGAAATTTTCAAAGATTCCTATTGATCAAGTCAAGTTTATAATTTAGGCTGTGAATCAGAGAACTAACTATAGACTGTGGGACAAATTTTGCTCGCTATCTGCTTGTGCAAATAAAGTTTCATTGAAACTCAACCACAATCATTTACTTACTTATTATCTATGGCTGCTTTTGCACTGCAATGATAGAGTTGAGTAGTTGCACGAGAGACTGTATGGCTCACAAAGTCTAAAACATTGACTAGCCTGTTCTTTCCAGAAAAAGTTTGCTTTTCTGATCAAGAGCCCTGACCTAGACCACTCAAAGTATTCTATCTCATTCCTTATCACTTTCTGTGGCACTGATGGCTTGTTGTTTTGTATATCTACTCTTACTTTCTATAGCAATAAAACCTCTGATTATTTTAACCAAGCACATGGCAGACTGAACTGAAGACTACATTTCTCAGCTCCCTTTGTATCTTGGTGTGGTCAGTGGGATAAATGGGATGTCAGTGGACTTGTACCTGCAACTTCCAGGAAATGTCCTTACAGGAACACTTTAAGGAAAGTATACTCTTCTCCTTGGTATCCTTCTTTCTAGCTAGAATGATGACAACATAACTGAAAAGTCATCTCACATATGGATGATCTTGGACCTAGAATTAATACATGGTAGAGCAACAAGATGAAAAGATCCTGGATCCTTCACATCAGAGTGTTTCTACCATCCTCAAACCACATACATCTGGATTTTTACATGAGCGAGAAATACAATTCTGTGTTAAACAAACCTCTGCCAGTTAGGATTTTTCTGTCATTTGTACTTAATCCTAAGTGATACGCTTCATAATAGAAATTTATTCTTCCAGACAAGCCAATATCTTTACAGTTTGCTGAACTGGCAATGCTTATTCCCACACCTCTATTCGTTTGCTCAGGCTGCTAGCTCATGCTGGACTGCCCCCACTTTCCTCCTTTCTTTGGCTACATTTTACTAATTCTTCAAAGCAGTTGAAGTCCTACCTCCACTCTGAAGCACTTTACTTGTTTTTTCCCATTTAGAGCTAAGCACAATATGTTTGGACAACTGAGACTGCACACTGAATTACATTATTTGAGTTATGTGTTTTGCTTTTTTTTGCCGAATGACAATGTATACTTTTACAGGATTGGGATCATTTGTTTTATTTTTGTTTCTGGTGCCCCAATACTGTAGTTAACCACAAAATATTTGTTAAATTTATTTTAATAAATTTGGGCAAAAGTAAGCCAAACCTAGCCATGAGTTCACAGGTTCTCATACTTTAAACTCAGATATGTTTTCAACATCTGAGTCATGATGTGTAAATCAACCAAAGGGAGATTTGTCCCAGATGAGGCCATTCAAAACAGCATATGATGGACATTTAGGCAAAAAAAAAAAAAAAAAATTATGTGCTGCCTAGTAAAGCCACCATGAGATAATTCATACTACTGTCACGTATGGTAAATTAGACAAATATGCCACATATTCTGTTGTAGTCCATTCCTGCTGCTAAAACAAAACACCATATACTGGGTAATTTGTAAATAATAGAAATTTATTTCTCACAATTCTGGAAGATGGGAAGTCCAAGATCAAGGTGCCAGTAGATTTGGTGTCTGGTGAAGGCTACTTTTTTTCTTTTTTTTTTTTTAACTTTTTAAAAAATTTTTCCATAAGTTATTGGGGTGCAGGTGGTATTTGGTTACATGAATAAGTTCTTTAGTGGTGATTTTGGCACACCCATCACCAGAGCAGTATACACTGCACCATACTTATAGTTGTTTATCTCTCGCCCCCCTCCCACTCTTCCACCCAAGTCCCCAGAGTCCATTATATCATTCTTAAGCCTTTGCATCCTCATAGCTTAGCTCTCATGTATCAGCGAGAACATACGATGTTTGGTTTTCTATTCCTCAGTTACATCACTTAGAATAATAGTCTCCAATCTCATCCAGGTCACTGCAAATGCTGCTAATTCATTCCTTTTTATGGCTGCATAGTATTCCATTTTATATATATATATATATATATATATATGGCACAGTTTATCCACTCGTTGATTGATGGGCATTTGGGTTGGTTCCACAATTTTGCAATTGTGAATTGTGCTGCTATAAACATGCATGTGCAAGTATCTTTTTCAAATAATGACTCCTTTCCCTCTGGGTAGACACCCAGTAGTGGGATTGCTGGATCAAATGGTAATTCTACTTTTAGTTCTTTAAGGAAACTCCACACTGTTTTCCATAGTGGCTGCATTAGTTTACATTTCCAACAGCAGTGTGGAAGTGTTCCCTGTTCACCACATACACGCCAACATCTACTCTTCTTTGATTCTTTTACTATGGCCATTCTTGCAGGAGGAAGGTCGTATCGTATTGTGGTTTTGATTTGCATTTCCCTGAAGGTGAAGGCTACTTTCTTTTTCCACAATGGCCACATTCTCTGGAGGACAAAGGCTGTGTCCTCACAAAGCAGAAGGAATGGAACGGCAAAAGGTAGGAGGGCACTTCCTTCCATCTCTTTCATAAGAGTACTGATTCACTTATGAAGGCAGAGCCCTCATGACTTAATCACTTTCCAAAATACCCACCTCTTAATACTATCACATTGGGTATTAGGTTGCAAGGTATGGAATTTGGAAGGACACATACATTCAAACCATAGCACTTTCATTGCAGTAAGTGGGTATAATTCCACATTTAGTTTTCTCCTTTATTATTTATGAGATCCTTTGTAGCCCTGGAAGCCAGCCAGCCATACCTTTTGCCTAACTGTAATAATAGAATATTAGATAAATTTAAACTAAGGTCAAAAAGCTAGTAAGATACTGTTTATACTTGTCCCAGTTCATGAAGCAAACAGAAATATAGTGGCTTGTCAAGAGTTTGAATGTCAGTGCTCAAACATTTCCTAAATCTACATCCAAGCAGTTTGCCCCTGTGGAATGGTACATCTTGTTTATCTACAAGGCATAGGATCATTTGTATAAGCCCAGCCTGCAGTTCTTAAATGGTGATGTGTACTCTGTCTATTCACATTAGCTTATGGCAGAGTTCTTAGAACATTCTTACAAATGAATTGATTACAGTGTCAGCCAAAGCCTATCTACAGCCAAGTGCCAGGAGCTGCTGAAGAGAAAATTGAGTTAGAGCCATATGGGCACTGATGTTTTTGAGAGCATGAAGGTTGCTTGCCCCCAGTTCCTTGCACTTACAATTTGAGGTAGCTCTATGACCAACCTCCCTTGGGGAGGCAGACAGTTGCCTATCTGCAGAGGAAAGCGAGATCATGGAAGAAGAGAAACTTGTCAGATGGCATGGGAACAGAGGGTGGCTCTTGAGTTTTTTGCTTGTTTTAGCCATATTTTTCCTGTGCATATCCTCAAAAGCTTGTTCTTCCAGTTTTACTGAACATTTTGTTCATCTCCTTGATCTCTTGTCAGTTATTGTTTCTTTTTTGAAGTCTTTTTCAGAGTTTTTCTTTCCCTTAAAGAGAATATGTCGTTAAGTTATGTATGTTCGCATTGTTTTCACCATTGTTGGTTTGGGAAAGAAATCTTACCCCTTCACCTTGCTTCATGCCTTCAACCCAGCCCTGCCTGCATTAGGAAAGCCATATCCCACAGAAATCTCTTACATTTCCCTCAAATGAAAAGTAAATACGGAAATAAAAAGTAGGTGTCTTAGCTCACCTCTAAATGTCTGCCCTATCCACTCTTATATTCTAACCCCGTCCATTCTACCCCATTTCTCCTCCCCATCTTCTTCAGGCCTTTCTCCAATCAATTAAATTTCTCTTACTTATAGTAAACACTGTTTCTTCCTTCACAAATCCTCCTTAACTGATTATGTCGGGGAAATATAATTAACAACAAAATCTTCTCCCAACCCAGAAATCCTTCACAAAGGTAGTAGAGAACAAGAAAATAATATTATTTTTTGACAAAGCATTAAACCAGAATGTCGTGTGTGTGTGTGTAATTTTTTTTTTTTTTTTTTTTTTTTTTCTGGAGATGGTGTCTCGCAGTGTCGCCAGACAGGAGTGCTGTGGCGCGATCTCAGCTCACTGAAACTCCCTGGTTCAAGAGATTCTCCTGCCTCGGCCTCCTGAGTAGCTGGGATTACAGGCACGCGACACCACACCCGGCTAATTTTTGTATTTTAGTAGAGACGGAGTTTCGCTATGTTGGCCAGGATGGTCTCAATCTCCTGACCTCGTGATCCACTCACCTCAGCCTCCCAAAGCGCTGGGATTATAGGCGTGAGTCACCGCACCTGGCCCAGAAGGTGATGTATATTATAGGCAATGTGCTAAGAGATTGTAAAGACAGAAAAAAATCTCCCTTTTTTTATTCAAGTAGATACAACCCATTACATGTATGTTTCAAAATAAACAATACCCAGTCTTTAAGTAAGAGGACTTGACGGCACAATTTGTCCCACATAGCTCATCCTAACTTTAATGGGTAATTGGGGTGACCATTTGTTTTAGTTAATTGGCTTTATTCAGAGGAAAAATAAACTTCTCATATCTATATGACGAGGCAGTTTTGCAACTTGGATCAAGGCACCCACTAAGGTGCCACCTCTCAAAGAATCTGGGAGACAGAGGTGCTCTCTTCCTTAATGCTTACATTTCAGAGAGATGGCGCCAAGGTCCTTGAGAAAGACATTGCTGGATCATAAAGCTGAGAAAAGCCCTATTTAGTTTTCAAAAGGACTTACGTATGTTTTAAAGAGAGCAGAAATAACATAAAATTTCAAGTTTCCTAAAGTAAACGTTCTTAAAAAAAGGACGGGGTAGAAGTTTCTTCCTCTAATTTCTATAGGGAGAATTACATTCTTATTTTTCATTTGTGTTTGTTCTTACAATGATACATTAACTTTAGCATCCTTGTTCTACCTAGTATAATGATGTGTCATGGGGCAGGAGGAAAGAAAGGTCTGGAGGCCAGTAATGAAAAAGCGCTAAACAGAGGGAAGTGGGGAGAAATCAGGAAAAGCACAGGCATAGACTTTGCTCTCAAGTAGGAGATAAATATAGTTCTTGGATACAATTGAGAAACACTTACTGATTGTAACTAAGGGGTGATATTCTTGGTGAGGATTCTTAGGCCCCATCTCAGACATCTCATTCAGTAACTTCTAAGAACTTAAGTTTCATTTCCAGAAGATATAATTAAAGAAAAAACTTTCCCAAATGATTTTGCTGTGCAGCCAGGTTTAGGATACACTGACAGGATGTGACGATGTGAGCATCTGTCTAATTTTCCCTTGAGTTAGTCCTAGAGAATCTGGCCTAAGATCTTAATGAAAAGAAAATAGAAATAAATAAAATAGGTAATACCAATAGTTTGTAAACAAATAAAGAAATAAGCAAAGGCTATTCCTTTTGAATTTTTTAAAAGGGAATTAAAAAATCTCCTACCATAGAAAAAAGAACAGCTGCTGCAGACGATTCCTACCTCCCTCCCACCTATGACATGGGGTTTGAGAGTTGGGTGTCAGAAAAGGTTCCAGGGCTTCAGAGGAGATGAAGATGGTAACTACAGGAGTCTCATAAGGAGAGGATACTTCCAGGAGATGGGAGTGGGAAGGGGACATCTGGAGATCTCTAGAGACTCAGATCAGCCTGCCATTACACTTAACTTCAACCTCCTGACTATCTTCTTTCAGACTCAGGTTTATAGATGAAAAGCCAAAGGTGAGTGCACCACTTCTGCTGACAGGTGACTGACAGAAATAATTAAGCACAGAGCTTGGCTGAGGGCTGGGTTTTCTGAATAGCATTAGGACCCTTGGGGCTGAGAAAATATGAATTTCTTAGAATCTGCACATATACTGGAAAGCCTACAAAAGATGTTTTCGAGATTTCCTGGTAGGTGGGCAGCACTGTTTGGCAGCAGGGTTCTGTCCAAAGAACAGCTGGTCTAAAAGTAGTGTCTTAAGCACAATGGTGGTAGATGGAGAGATTAAAGCCCAAGATAAAAGTGCACTGGAATATTTTTATAAAGCAATATCATTTAATAAATAGCAAAGGGGAACAATAAAAGGGATGTGATGTCTAATAAATAAAAGGATTTAAGATGCAAGATGGACTGCGATCAGACATAAAATTAAACATAAGCTTTTGGGAGAATACCACAGATGATATGAATCTTTTAGATCCCTACCTACAGAAGAGAAATATATGCATCCGAAACCACAAAATTTGAGCAAATACCAGCTCACATCACTGTGGTAATGAAAATAAAACAAAAGAAATGAGAATGACTCCTATTCTCAAATGAAATTCAGCCTCATATGATAACTATTAGGGAATTCAGTTTCTCAGTGACATCACACTGAGTAGATGCCATAACAAATACCGTCATTTGTTGGTTACCTACTGCATGCCAGGCAGGAGGCTAAGTATCCCACACATATTGTCTCAGAAATGCTCAAATTCAAAGAATTAGTTATTATTTACATTTTATGTATATGGAGCCTGAGTTTCTGAGAAATAAATTGCCCAGAGTATACAACTAGGAAATGGTGGAAGCAGAATTGAAACTGAGGACTGCTGAACACAGAGCCCTTTGCATTTTCATACTGGTTTCTACTATAGAGTCTGTGGATTATGTTTCTCATATGATTCTACTCTATAATTAGATTCCAAATAGTCATGAGACAGAGGAGCACTCTGACCAGTCCTTTTGTCATTTAACATGCAATTCCTGAATGACTCTAATCATTATCTACCAAAAGGTAATCTCTCATTCTAACCTCGAATTTTCTACTGAATCAACAGTCTTCAAGTTTTTTCTATAATGTTCTTCTACTAGTACAAAAATCTTCATCACATAGTCCTAATATGTGTATATTTATTTATGTATAATTTTACGTGACTATATTGCATACATTATAACATTAATTCAAAATAGAATAATATGAACTGAATACTATTTTTAATATAATATTGAATACAATATGGTTGAATATTCTGTCTTTTTGAAATTTTGATTTAATGTCTTGTTATAGAATAGGTTCTAGGTCAGATTCTAAGTTCAATTTATTTTGATAGCTATATGAAGTATCTTTCATTTGGTTATGGCCATCATTAAAAGAAAATGTTCATCTAGTAAATACCCATTTTCTCTGATGCCAAACAGTTGTCATTGAAAACATATTAGACCATGTTGCTTGATTATATTTTTAACAAGTGGGTTGAAGTAACCACTAAAGTATGAAATATTTTTAACCAGTTTAGAAAATTCTGTTTTCAAGATTCTTAAATGTATGTGTGTGTGTGTGACTCTTTAACAATGGCACACTAAATACATTCATTATTGAAACAATGAAAAGATTTCCAAATGTCCATTTTCTTTATTTTTACATTTATTTTAGGTTTGGGGGTACATGCGCAGGTTTGTTATTTAAAATATAGGTAAACTTGTGTCATGGGGGTTTGTTGTACAGATTATTTCATCACCCAGGTACTAAGCATAGTACCTAATGTTTATTTTTCCATTATAGCCTTTGCATTGTTATTTTGTCATTAGCCATTAATACAAAACTTACAGGTGGATAATTGTGAATGCATTTGGCAAACCTTGTCAGATCTGAGTAGATAATCATCGTTTTAACCATGTAATGTGGCTGAAAAAGCTCCTAATAGGAGAAGTGTCAGCTCTAACACTTTCTTATGGTGCATGTGTGCTCATAAATATTTTGAACTATAATCCCCATATTAATATTTTAGGCCTCTTATCCATTTCCCAGGCTACCTCATTTAGTTAAAACTCAATAATGAATCCTGTAAATTCATTTATCCAGTAATGTCATTGTGTAGCAGAGCCCTGATTAGACATATAAGGGTACCACTGTCAGCCCATACTTGGTGCAAAATTAAACTCTTGGTGCAGGAAACCTCCTTTTCTGTACATAATACATTCTGGTACAAGACAGGAACCACATGAGTCAGCCAGAGCCACTCATCCACAGGTGATGAAAGGTAAAGCTTGTTTTCTAAAAAATAAAATGAAATACAAATAGTAGTTCTAATATTTTCTTCTCTCAGGATAAAGAGGGCCCACACCTCTCTTGGGAGACCAAGAAATAGCGCACAACTTCAATCAGATGCACTACCAACACCCCCAAAACAACTTATGCAAAACAGAATGCCTCTCTTTATTTCCTGTTAAAACCCAATATTCATCTTTTCCTGTGTCCCTATCTTTTAATGTTAAAAGAAAAATGCCAAGAATCAAGAAAACTTTGTTGACACTGGGCTAATACTTGTAATCCCAGCACTTTGGGAGGCTGAGGCAAGAAGGTCATTTGAGGCCAGGAGTTCGAGACCAGCCTGGGCAACATAATGAGACCTCATCTCTACAAAAAAAATTTTAAATGAGGTAATGTGCACCTGTAGCCCCAGCTACTCAGGAGGCTGTTGTGGGAGAATCACTTGAGCCCAGGAGGTGGAAGTTGCAATGAGCCAATATTCAGTCAAAACAAATTCTGAATATAAGTGTATACAGTGTTTGAGTTGGCTGAAAACCCAACTACATGGCCTAAGCAAGACAAAAGTTTATTTCTCTCACTTAAAACAGGTACAGAGGAGATATGGCAACGTCAGAGACAAGAGTGACCCAGCTCCACCAGTAGAATATGGCTTTCTTCCTCAGGGGTCACCTCATAGTCCATTCTATCTGCATTCGTAGCAGGAAAAGGATGGTAGAGGGTAGGTGAAGGATACATCTCCTTCCTAGTTGACTCAGCCCCCTTGAGGAGCTTTCCCGGAAGCCCCACCCAACATATCACGGCCACCACCATCTGCAATCTGAGAACTGGAGTCTTTAGTTGAAGTAAATTCCAGGTTTTCTTCTGTGGAAGTAGGAAAGAATGGCATTTGAGTAGGCAATTAGCAGGTAGTGTTGTATTATAATAATAAAACTACCCTTAAATTTTTTTCTTTAAAGTGTAATAGTGTCAGAACAATAACAACAACAAATCTGCATGAGACAAAAAGAATGAAAGAGAAAATAGGAGATGTAGATAAAAATTAAGAATCACAGAAATAAAATAGTATGCTGACTCTCATAAGAGGAGGAAAAGAGGGCTCCACAATAGAGTCAATTATAAGCAGAGCAAGGTTTCAAATAGACCCCATTCCACTTTCCAAAAATACATTTAAATAATATTGAGTTGAAAAAGACAGAATTATAAGATGGACTATAAATCCAACATGTTATTCATTCTTTCTTATCTATTTCCAAGAATACCAGGAGTTAAAGTGAAACTGGTAAACAGAATAGATATTGGCAATTGGAGTACGGTCCTTCTGTTTCTCCCCATGTAAAACAGGAAAGGCTAGAATTTCCTTAATGTGTGATGTATATCCAGAAGACATCTGTTCTCCTACTCCATGAAGTTAATATGTCTATACAATACTTGCTGCCAAATACATTTATTGTTTTGTGCATGGATGTGCTACATAAACATAAGTAATATTGAAATGTATGTGCAATATAGATATAGATGTATGTTCTTTAGCCATAATGAGTCATTCTCTACAATAATCTCAAGGAGGGCTTATTCTCAAGGGTTTATTAGGAAATGATAAAGACAAAAGAATTTTCTGTTCATTTTGAATATAATAGCTACACTTTATATCAGGAATATGATTTTGGAAAAGTTGGAGCATAGGAAGTAACAGAAAGCCTTAGAATCAAGTCAACATAAAGAATTATCCCACTGTATACAGCTGGATAGCTGAAGAAATCAAGAAAATAGAGGAACTTCCCATGTAAATTGTAGATTAGCTCATTGCAAGACCTTAATATTTCTAATTGAACAGGATGATAAAAATATCTTAAGAGAATTAGATAACTGGGTCTAAAATTGAACCACAATGTTTATTCTAAAGAGAACAATTAGAAGATGCTCAAAATTAGAACGTGAAGGTCTTCTACTTCTGCAGAGCTAAAACTTAATATATTATCATGATATTCCCTCTCATACCATCCCAATGTTTTGGGTTTCTTCTTTTTTTATTTGAGAAGCACAAAATTGTGTACAAATTTGCAGAGAGCTTATTTATTTTGCAAAGGAAAGATAGAAATTAAAATGTCTGAATAGCTGCCAATAACATTTTATGTTCAACAAAGGGTCTTCATGCTGCCCCCTAAAAGTGAGAGTCCCTTCCCATTCTGTTCTCAGAAGTCCCTTTCTACCACACATTCTTTTGATACTAAGTAATACAACGTTGTTAATCACAGGAATTTAATTCCCCCGCTTAATATCAGCAGTAAATTTGGCTAAGGAAAGGCAATACCATTACTAAAGAACAGTTAGCAGATCATTTAAAGCCTGCTAAATTATGCCATAGAATCACTGAATTTATTACTGCTGTGCTTTCTACTGACTCATTTATCTGACGTACTGGAAAGCTCATTTCTGAATCCTTCTTACCTGGTCATTCGGAATCACGCAATCGAACAGCATTTATCAGAAGCCTTCAGGCACATTGTGTAATGTTGGGAATTTTACCAAGAGACTTCTTTTTAAATGTGATCCCTGACCTCTGGAAATTTTGTTTGCAAAAATAAGACCTTGCTAAAATTTTGAGACGAGAAAGAGTAATCTTAACAGATGTCTATTGCTGTATATTACTCCTTGTAACAAATTGTACTAAAAGTGTTGCAACAACCCAATGAAGTAGGCAAAATCATTACCTTCATTCTGCAAATGAAGAAACGCAGTCAGAGAGATAGGCAATGGGCCCAAGATTAGAAAACTAGTAATAAGTGACACCAGTTTCAAAAATAATTTAAATGACAATATTGCCCTGGGCTTCACATTGGACCATAAAAGATATGGCACAACTACTGTACACTTTAAACTTTACTTTAAAATGTAAAGTTTATATGTATTTATATCAAAAATGTGAACATAAATATAAACATGCTTTATAGCTATATGCAAAAATAAAACAACAAAAGCAAAAAACAAAAAAACTTAAACTGAAATAAGTCCACATCGATCAACTTTATTTGATCAACTAAGTTAAGACAAGGTTTTGCTAGTCAGTGTTCAATAATAGATACTATTATTATCATTATTCCTCTACCTGTACTTTAAGGGGTTTTTCAACAATATGGAAAGCGAGGACAGAAGGGCTTCATGATTGGGTGTTACTCTCTTTGTCTTAAACCCAAGCTTCAAATCCAAAATCTATGATTTTTCCTTCCTAATGGATAAAACCATGTATCTAGAAGTTATCCAACCCTGATTGTCCTCCAAAATATGCGTAAAAACTAAAATTAATAAAATCAATCCTCATTCTTTACTATGAGATAGCCAGATATGACAATGTCAGCTGTTAATGCAAGAAGGTCTTTTCTTCCCTCAGTGCTCCTAATACTGGACTAATTTTCCCAAACCCAGGAATGAAATTTCTTAGGAGTATATCCCCATCCTAGGTAACTCACCTCCCGGGTCTCCCTGGGTGAATCCTGGCTGTCTCTACTGCAGTGTACCACAGTCTGCCTTAAAGAGTAGTTAACACTAATAATAGATTAAGTATTAAGGAAAATATATGAAAACATTGATGTTATCTCTCATGGGATTAACTATATTCTCTGGGTCTGAGAGCAGCTTTACCAACAATCTTCAGGATACAAAAGAAAGGAACTAAGCTATATTCAACATTTTCAAATTATAGCATTCATCACTAATGTAAAACATTCATCTAGCTTAAATATTCTTCATAAATAATCCTTAGTAACAATTTCCAAAACAAAAACAAAAGGCAACTATAGCCTCTAGTCTGAATTTATGGTTTGTCAGTGTCCTAAGATAAGAATGTATCCTGACAAATTCTTGAATTTTCAGTTTATTATACTGCTGAGCCTTTCAAGTAATTTATCTTCTGGGTATAAAGCCAATATTTGCATTTTGATTTATTTTTATAGCTACATTACTGGATTCTTATGACCTAGGATCTTGCATACTGGTATAAGAAGAATAAACTCTTTTGGAACCTTGTAAATATTTTATTTCTATTCCTTCAGAAAAACTACTACAAGGTGCTAATTCTGCAACCTTTCTTTGTACAGTTCAAGTCACGCGTTCCAAATTAGAACGCCAAAATGGATTAAAATATTTTGGAGTACATACACCAGAAACAGCAAAATACTGTGTTGACCACGTTTATATGTTTTACCTATTATATTATTATTTTCCTGCGAAAATATTAATATTTATGTTTAAAAAGACAAAATTTTAAAAATAAGCTTGTAATTGTCAACTTACACCAAATGATTATAATTTAAGATAAAAAGAGGCTGATTTTATAATATATTCGGATTCAACTATTTAGATTTAAAAACATTTGATAGCTACTATGTCATTAGTTTGTATCTTGGCCAATACCTTGATACTTTTAGAAATAATATATGAAAGAATATTTGCACTTTATAGATACTTTCAATTTTATAGGCACTATATTTTATAATAAGTAAGATATATAGGACCATTTTCTTAAAGAAAAAAGATATGAAAGGGTTTTAAATAAAAATATAAAGTAAATTCAGTTTTCTTAGATTTGATAATAAAAAGGATTCAACTTTCTGATTTATACTTACTAAATCTTTCTTTTATTAAGATCTAACTCTAAAAACTTAAACACCAACAACATGGAAATTAAAATTCTTTAATCTCTTTAATAATTCATGAGGGCAATGTAGTGGGATAAAGAAACAGATCATAACTTTTAGATTTAAACAGACCTGGAGGGAGGAGATAGGTACAAATAGATGATGGATGGATAGACAGATAAATAGATAGATAGAATATATTTTGTCATTATTTTATGGATTCTACGTCTTCATTTTTCTCTTTGATAGACCTTTGATTTATGATTTATTCTTCTCAGTTTAAACATAGTTATATTAACATCTTTTGTTTTCTTTTTTTTTTTTTTTTTTTGAGACGGAATCTCGCTCTGTCGCCCAGGCTGGAGTGCAGTGGCACGATCTCAGCTCACTGCAAGCTCCGCCTCCCAGGTTCACGCCATTCTCCTGCCTTAGCCTCCCAAGTAGCTGGGACTATAGGCGTCCGCCACCACACTCCCTAATTTTTTTTTTTTTTTTTTTTTGTATTTTTAGTAGAGACAGGGTTTCACTGTGATAGCCAGGATGGTCTCGATCTCCTAACCTCGTGATCCGCCCGCCTCGGTCTCCCAAAGTGCTGGGATTACAGGCGTGAGCCACTGCACCCGGCCCATCTTTTCATATTGCTCTATTATTTTCTGTTCTTTGGGAGTACATTCTTCCTCTCATGGTGGTGGATTACGTGTGTGCTTTGTAACTTTGTCTGTGAACTTCTCTTTAACAAAATGCACATTCCAGATTATGGAGGCTTCCCTATTACCAATTTCATGCTATTTTTTAAGCTAAGGTACGATGTATATACAGTAAAATACACAAATATGAGGTGTTCAGCTTGACTAATTTTTGCATATGTATATACCTATGTAACCAGCATACAGACAAAGATACAGAATATTTCCAGCACTCTCCTGCCTCCTCCTAGTCAGTATCTACTGAAAGGTAAATGCTATAAATTTTTATATTTGGTAGTATATTTTTCAGTTTTTTTCCTTTTTGGAAAAGATTGCCTTTCCTATTCTGGGTCCTTTAAATTTCCATATAAATTTTAGGGTCAACTTGGCAATTTCTACCATAAAAAAGTTTGTTAGCATATTAATTGTGACTGAATCTAATCTACAGATCAATTTCAGTTTTCTCAAAATTGACCTACAGATCAAATTCAATCACATTTTGATTGTGACTGAATTCAATCTACAGATCAATTTGGGGAAATTTTATATCTTATCAATATTACAACATCTTATCAATACTACATTTTTTAATCCATGAACATAGTATGTAATTTTATTTATATTGGCTTTTCTTAATTTCTCTCAGCAATATTTTGTAGTGTTTTGTGAACTTTTACTAATTTATTTCTAGCTATATGATTTTTTGATGCCACTGAAAATGATACCACTTTCAAGTTAATTTTTAATTGTTTTTTGCTTGTAAATAGAAATACAATTGTCTTTGTATATTGACCTTGTATTAAGGAGCCTGCTAACTTTATTTATTTCTATTATTTTTGTAATTTTTAAAGATTTTCCAAGAATGTAATCATGTCACTCTCTTCCTTCTTCCTTTCTAATCATTATATGTTTCCTTTTATATTTGTTTTATTGCATTTCTAATGTAAATGCTAAATAGAAGTTATAAGAGTTGACATCTTTGACATTTTTCCAACATCAGAAGAAAACATTCAGTATCTCACCATTAAGTATGTGGCGTTCTGTAGGATCTTAAATAGATACTCTTTATAAAATTTAGAAAATTACCCTTTATTTCTAGTTTTCTGAGAATTTTTATCATGAACATGTGTTGAGTTTTAGCAATATTTATCTACATCTATTGAAATGGTTGTGCTATTTTTATCCCTTAATCTGTTACTTTGGTGAATTCTATTTATTGATTTAAAAATATATTAAATCACACTTGCATTCCTGGAATCAACCCATATGGCAACCCATATTGTCAAAAAATTAACTCTGTTCATAGCCCTATAAAGTTTAATATTTTCAGACAGTTTTTATATTACTATCTCAGCTTAGGATTTTGACACCATGAGGAGAGTCCAAATAAGAATATAGATATAAATAATCTAGAATTATTCTGGAAGTAGATAGGTGAGTAATGCAATGAATTTATATTACTCTGATTATAACTAACTTCTCTAAACAAAGGTAAGGAGCTCAATAAAAACCAAATAGGCAAAAAAGCAACCAAAATAGATTTAAGTGTACTCAAATCTATGAATTTTTTGTTGGTGGTGTTGTTTTGGTTTTGTTTGGTGACAGAGTCTCACTCTGTCACCCAGGCTGCAGTGCAATGGCGCAATCTTGGCTCACTGCAACCTCTGCCTCCCAGGCTCAAGCAATTCTCCTGCCTCAGCCTCCCAAGTAGCTGGGATGACATGTGCATGCCACCATACCTGGCTAATTTTTGTATTTTTTGTAGAGATGGGGTTTCACCTTGTTGGCCAGGCTGGTCTCCAACTCCTATCTTCAAGTGATCTGCCCACTTTGGCCTCCCAAAATGCTGGGATTACAGGTGTGAGCCACCGCACCCTGAGGAATCTGTGGGTTTAATAAAATTAAGTTCCTTAAGCATTGACTTAGTCTGATGAGCCCAATGAGAAATAAGCAAATGAAGAAGTTAAGAAAAAAGTTGCGGTAAGGAACAGGGTAATAAGGAATATTGAAAGCAGATAAAGGCAAGGGTGCACTCCCCTGTGGCCCTCTTGTGGAAAGGTCAGAATGCAAACTTTTCATAGCTTCTGGCAGGTAGGCCTCACATTGCTCTAGTGTAGTACAATAATAAATGTTTATAATGTTGATCCTAAATCATCTAGAAAAGATCAAATTATACTTGGTTTGATCTGATTAAGATGAAAGATTTGTTTCAAAATATTTTATGTAAAATGGTTGACATTCTAAGTCTGAGAGGCAAACATGTAGCTTTATATATAAAGTTATATATAATTATATAGCTATTTATACAGTATATATAGAGTAATATTTAGTTATATATATTTATTTACATTGTTATATACTTACCTAGTTATATACTTACTAGACTGAAGTCCAGCTATCTAGGATTCAGTCCCTCAGCCTATAGGATAAGTGAAGTTTAACTTTCCTATGACCACTAACTCATTATTTGCCATTCTATTCTTTAAAAAAAAAAATGCAATGAACTCACCAGCTAAGATATTCTACCTATCAAATCATTTAAGTTATTGTTTAAATAAACAACAGCTGTCACAATGTCATCAATTTACCTGCTCTTTCATTCTTGCATCCATAAAATTATTATTTTACACAGAAGTGTACTAAGAAATAGTTAGTGTTTTCAAAAATAATTTGAAGGTATAAAAAATTGCTCCAAAATGCTAATTGTGATTACTATTATAATAGCCAACAGGAACGAAAAATAACGCAGTGATCCTAATTGGTGACTTAATAATAGAGAACACGTCCTTAACCAGGAAAGGGGGAAAGAAGAAAAAACACACACACAGATACACACACACACACACACACACACACACACCACACCCTCTGTGCCCAACAGCAGAAGTAAGGAAGCAAATGAAAAATTGATGAGGGCTAAAAACTTTGCATTGGAGAATGCTACTTGAATTCTCTCTCACTTTTTACCTGGCAGAACATCATCTTAAAAACCTATTAAGTCTTCTGTCTTCAAATGTATTCTGATATCTCCACAAATATCTGTTTAAGTTAAATCTGACTAAGTACTAATGCCCATTCTAGAGTAAAAGCTAAAGCTTATATTATCTGAGACATCAAAGATGGCCAATTTAACTTTATGGTAAAATATATTTGATTTTATATCCTGCATATTTCATAACCACAGAATAAATGTATGTTGTATTATGTATGTCTGTATAAATATTTTATATACCATCTATATGTCAATAATTTCTATCTATAACTCAGACATTTCCTCTGAACTCACATATTAAGCAACTATTAGACATCTCCATTTGGATATCTTACAGGTATTTCAAATTTCATTTTTCTAAAACATACTGCCTATTTTCTCAATACCCCAACTTTTTCCCATTTGCCCAGTTGCTCAAATCTGAGAATTGTTTTTGATTCCTCATTTTTTGCTTATCACTTATATCTAATCCATCTCCAAGTCCTGTCAATTTAACTACAAACATATCTTGATTTCATTCACTTCTCTTCATCTCAACTGCCATTGCCATAATGAAATCCATCATCACTTTTTGCCTAAATAATCATATCTGTTTATAATTCTGCCTATTTTACCTCATCAATTTTAATACAAAGGCCAAGGCACTCATTTAAAAATATAATTCTGGCCATGCCAGACACCTGCCAAAAACCCACCAGTCACCTCCTGTTTCACTTAGAATAAAATAATTTTAAAAAAATATGGTCTAGAAGGCCCAATGTGATCTGGCCCAGTTTCATGTCTCACCACTCTTATCCTTAAGCCCCATGTTCCAGACACACTGACTTTCATTAACCTCTGAAACACACTAAGCTTTTTCCTTCCTTAAAATCATCACAAAGGCTCTTCCTTCTAACTAGAACTCTTTTCCCTGAACGCCAACTTCTCTAATTCCATGTCTAATCTCAAGTATCACCTCCTCCTAAAAACTTCTGTTATCATTCTGTCTAAAGTAGTTTTCTCGCCCCCCTACATTTCCATGCTGCACATTGCTATTTCCCCTTCATAGCACCTACCACAATTTGTAAGGTACTTACTTGTTTACTTACTTTTCTTTTTGTATTCCACCCCAGTTAAACTAGAAGATCCACAAGGACTGGGACCATCACTATTTTGTTCACAATTATAAACACAGTACCATGTAGTTGTAGAATGCATGTGTTGGAATGCTGATGAATATGTGATTTTAAAAAGTATAGACTCTTCTGTTAACTTGCTTTTCATTGCACTTAAATCAGAGGCCTACTCCTAGGTGGGGAAATCAACAATGGGAAGTTAGAAAGGGTTGCTGGCATGCTTTCTCGTGGGCTGAATATTCACCATATGCTAAGTCTCCTTTTCACTTTCTATAGTTCTCTTTTCACTTACTAAATAATCAGTTCTTCTTCCTTTGCTGCTGCAGAAATTATCTTCCTCCTCAAAAGTTCAGTGGCACTCCATCCTATATTGCCAATCAGTCTGAGTGTCCATGTTACTCTTCCCACCCCGCCTACCAATATCACCTCCATCATTTTTTCCACCTGCTTCCAACACGCTATCAAGAAATACCACTCATCTTTCCTTCTGCCTCTCTCCTTCTATAGATGCTTTACAGGACAATTTATGCTATTTCAGAAAGCCAGAACAAGCTCCCATCTGCCATCTGTTAAACCATCATTTCTCCTTCATTAAAAATCTTCCTAAATTCAAGCTCATTTCAGAAAAAAACAGGAGTTTGGAAAGGAGTGAGATACCTTACATTTAGATTCATGTGTCTGAGACATACAATGCTCTGTATATCTACCTGGATTTCCTTAATAAAAATAATATGAAAAGTAAAGTCCAGAATAGAAAAAGCAAAATCATGGTATTTATATATTTAAAATACATATGACTATTTGTGTCATGCTGCAATTTGGCAAAGTGATAGGACATCAAAGGGATAGTAATCTAAAGATTCACAATAAGCACACAAATATATTAATATCATAAATACAGCTGCATACAAATTATCTGTGTATATATGTACATAATATAATATATATATGAAGTTTGAAAAGAGTTTCAGGCTGGAATTTTTTGACATAACCACTGGCTTTCTTCTACTTATTAAGAAGGTATCTGTGATGGTTAATTTTAGGTTCTCATTTGACTGAATTAAGGTATACCTACAAAGCTGGTAAAGCATTATTTCTGGGTACGTCTGTGAGGGTGTTTACAGAGGAGATTGGTATGTGAGTTGGTGGACTGAGTGAGGAAGATCTACCCTCAACGTAGGCAGGCACTGTTCAATCAGTTGGGGGTCCAGGTAGAACAAAAAGTCAGAGCAAAGACAAATTCTTTCCCTCCTGGAGCTTGGACAACCTTCTTCTCCCACCTTTAGATATCAGAACCCCAGGCTCTCTGGCCTTTGGCCTCTGGGTTCTCATGCCTTTGGCTTCAGACCTAATGCTGTTGGGTTCCCTGGTTCTGAGGCTTTCAGACTTGGACTGAGCCTTGCTCCTGGCCTCCCAGGATCTCTGGCTTACAGAGGTCTACTGTGGGACTCAGCCTCCATAATTGTATGAACCAATTCCCCTAATAAATCCTATCTCATCTCTCTCTCTCTCTCTCCCCACCCCCTACCCCACCATTGGTTCTGTCCCTCTGGAGAACTCTGACTAATACAGTATCTTTACATCACAATATCAAGTGGACTGAAATACAGCTTTCCTTTTCCTGAAGTATTTAAACATTTAATGTTCTTAATGAGGCCATCTACACCAAAGTAAAATAAATAAATTTGACAGTTTTCCAACAGTGGTACAATATGTTATTCATGTCAGGCTGGAAGAAAAGGAAGATTTCTTGCCGGTTATCTCTAATCATTTGTGTCCTAAATCAAACTCAACTAATTGTTGAAGACACTAGGTAGACATTGAGACCGCATATTTTTAAAGTTGGAAATGATAACAGATCATGAGTTTGTTATGAGTCAGTAATGGGTTATTTTAAACCACAGTTGGCTAGATGAGAACCAGCAATGATACCCTTTACAATCATGCACTATATAACAATGTTTCAGTCAAAAACAGACACATGTATAGTGGTGGTCCTATAATATTATAAGACTGTATTTTACTGTATCTTTTCTATGTTAGATATGTTTACATATGCAAAGGCTTTCCATTTTGTTACAATTGCCTACAGTATTCAGTACAGTGACATGTTGTACGGTTTGTAGCCTAAGAGCAATAGGCTATACCATATAGCCTACCTGTGTAGTAGGCTGTACCATCTTAGTTTGTGTAAATACACTCTATGATGTTTGCACAACTAAATTGTCAAATGACAAATTTCTGAGAACATATTTCTGTCATTTAATGATCCATGACTGCACTTGTATAAGTTTAATGTTGATTTCTGTATTTTAGGAGCAATTTGGAGAATTTTTAAAAAGACTCTGGAAAAGGCAGGCCAAAATGATGAGTAGAATGGTAATAAAACATGTTAAGAAAGAATAAAGTGAGGTTATTCAATCTGCTGAAATGAAGGTTATGAAATGACAACTAATTTTAAAAGTATATAATTTTTATAAAAAGGGTACTTCCCAGCTTTTCTCGTACTCTGAGACCTACATAAGGGGGGAAAACAGGTTTAAGTTGTGATTGAAAGGAGATTTACACTAAAGATAAAGGAGGTTTGTTTAGAGATTCTAATATTCAGAAAGAGGCTTCTGCAGAAATGAATACAATCTCCACCCTCAGAGAAGGTGAGGCCTTAGAATAGAATGCATTGTAATCTATCTGAAGTTGCTTTGATATCAAAGCAAATTGTCCAGGCAGTTTGCACATAAGGGGTCCCTTAAGAATTAAGATTCTCCATGGTGTATATGTGCCACATTTTCTTAATCCAGTCTATCATTGTTGGACATTTGGGTTGGTTCCAAGTCTTTGCTATTGTGAATAATGCCGCAATAAACATACGTGTGCATGTGTCTTTATAGCAGCATGATTTAGAGTCATTTGGGTATATACCCAGTAATGGGATGGCTGAGTCAAATGGTATTTCTAGTTCTAGATCCCTGAGGAATCGCCACACTGACTTCCACAATGGTTGAACTAGTTTACAGTCCCACCAACAGTGTCAAAGTGTTCCTATTTCTCCACATCCTCTCCAGCACCTGTTGTTTCCTGACTTTTTAATGATTGCCATTCTAACTGGTGTGAGATGATATCTCATAGTGGTTTTGATTTGCATTTCTCTGATGGCCAGTGATGATGAGCATTTTTTCATGTGTTTTTTGGCTGCATAAATGTCTTCTTTTGAGAAGTGTCTGTTCATGTCCTTCGCCCACTTTTTGATGGGGTTGTTTGTTTTTTTCTTGTAAATTTGTTTGAGTTCATTGTAGATTCTGGATATTAGCCCTTTGTCAGATGAGTAGGTTGCGAAAATTTTCTCCCATTCTGTAGGTTGCCTGTTCACTCTGATGGTAGTTTCTTTTGCAGCCATAAAAAATGATGAGTTCATGTCCTTTGTAGGGACATGGATGAAATTGGAAACCATCATTCTCAGTAAACTATCGCAAGAACAAAAAACCAAACACCGCATATTCTCACTCATGGGTGGGAATTGAACAATGAGATCACATGGACACAGGAAGGGGAATATCACACTCTGGGGACTGTGGTGGGGAGGTGGGAGGGAGGAGGGATAGCATTGGGAGATATACCTAATGCTAGATGACGAGTTAGTGGGTGCAGTGCACCAGCGTGGCACATGTATACATATGTAACTAACCTGCACAATGTGCACATGTACCCTAAAACTTAAAGTATAATTAAAAAAATAAATAAATAAATAAATAAATAAATAAAAAAGAATTAAGATTCTCTAATTCTACTTTCAGTGACTCTGGGAAGCTTTTTTCTTAATAATAATGACTTTATATTTCAACAGTGTATGGAATATTGGCTATTTTAAGAAACAAGTATTTATTATTGAAAAACCCTATGATGTGAAGAGAGAGCAAGATGTGAAACCAAAGCGTTGATAAAAGTAACTTTTCTACCTTTACAGGTTAATTTGAAACAAGCACATCTCTTTCTCATTCTTTCCTCTCTAATTCTAAAGGTCACTTCTCACACAGTACTGGATCTCAAGAGTGAGTAGTTACGAGCAGCTATCACTAAATTTAAACTCTGGGGAAACTTAAAGATGGAGAACTTCATAAATTGAATGTGTCACAAATATTGTATGCTGAGAAATTGGCATTCATTACCCACAGAGGTGTCCTCATTACCAATTTGTAGTATCATTCAAGAGTGATGGTGTCACCCCTATATCATGGATATAAATTACAGTATTCTCTGTCTGGTTCTGACATTTTTCTTCCACATAAAGTGCATGATGGCTCAGTTTCATTTTGACCTTTGTCTTTCCTGTAATGGAACACACAAAATTATATCTGTAATAGCAGCAGGAAGTTCCTGAGCTTGACTTTTACCTATCACAGGAAGGAGATTATAAGAGTACTATTTGCAAAAATGTTGATAAACTTCTCGTTGTGAGTTCTGAGTTGATAAACCTCCCATCCATACACACAAACAAAAATGTTGTTTCAGGCTATGTCACTAAGTATTATAAATTTCATATAAAATCTAAATAATGGCTCTGTCAGCAGTAAACGTGTACAATTAGGCTGTTTCCAAAAATTTTACCCTATTTATAATAAGTATTTCATAATTATAATCAGAATGGGTGAAATAAAACAAATGCATTTATCTAGTTAAGTTTTCAACTTTGTTTATCTTCAGTTTTTCAAAGTGGGAATTTATATTAGAGCTGATTTCTAAGATCTTTCCAATTAAAAAACTAAAAAGCTCAATTCAGTGATTTCCTTTTGATTAATATAATGAGCCTAAAGACTACAAAGTGGCTTCTTTGTTAATGCTTCTTCAAGTGTTCTTTCTGCTTGCTTTTAGCCAGAAAAGTTCACTCAGGGAACTGAACTGTAGGTCAAACATTGTAACAATCCAAGAAACTAATGTCACACATATCCTCATCACCATCACCTTCTCTCAAAATCGGGGTCTTCATCCTGGACAAAAAGGAGGGGAAGAAAGAGAAGGTAAAGCAACAAAAAAAATGTATCTCACCTGGCTTAAAATTTGTAGCAATGATAGGAGGGGTTAAAGAATGATTGAGAAGGAAAGTGTTTGAAAAATATAGTTATGTACACTATGTGTATATATATATCTGAATTTTTAAAAACCAATTTGACTGTTATTTACAAATTTTTGGTCATATAATATTGTTTCTGAAAAAGTACAAATAACTGGCTGAATTAAGTTGTTTTTACCTGAAATGATGAAGCCAATGGTTTAAAGATCATCTGTGTTTTTGCTAATTTATTTTAATTATTTAGCAATAACTAAACATACTCCTGCCTCTTTTATAAAGAATTGCATAAAATTGCAATTTAACAGATAAAGCTTGAATAATGATTACCTGGATTGTCGATTAAAATATCTGAAAGAAATAAAACCAAATTCAAAAGAACATGCTATTATTCATGCCAACTCAACATTCAAATATTCCCAGATAATGTACTAACTGACCTTCAAAACAAAGTTTATGATTTTTTAACATAGATTTTTATAAAGGAGAACTGTGGGTGCCTGGAGTTAGTGTTGCAAACAAGTCAGGGACAAAGAGAAGAGGGACTGGGAAATGGAGATAAGGCTCTGTATTACTTAGAACTCTTGGTGCCAGGTAACAGAAACCAACTCAAACTAGCCAAAGTGCAAAAGATATGCATTGGCAAAGATAACCAAGAAATATTAGACCCATTTTAGGCATGGCTGAATCCATGTGCAATATCTTCATATATCTGAAGCTGTATCTATTTCTACACTCTGATTTCCTCTGTGTTTGTTTTATTCCAGGAAGAATCCAATTATATAATTGCAAAGATGATCCTCAGCAGCTCCAGGGTTACAGCTAAGAAACCCAGAGAAAAGAATGAGACACACTCTCTTCCCCAGTATTCTTATCAATCTATATCAATTATGTCTTTATCATTGAGCCAATTACTTTGTCCAGAATCATGAGATACACTGGTTAGCCTATGGTATATGCTTCCTCTGTTTCAGTGAAGGTGGGGCTGGGTGTTGAACTCTTTTACCATAATCACAAGAATTTGGGAATTAGTAGTTCCTAAAAGGAAAAAATACAGAATAGACCACCCCTTCTTCTTTACCCATACACCCTCAACACACACAAACAGGTGATCCTGCAGGTCTAAAGTATGTATCACTCTATTATTTGCTTAGAGCTAACTTGCTTCTTCCTTTCTTTTTTCCTTCGCTTCCCTGCCCTTCTCCTTCCTGCCCTCCTTCCCTCATTCTCTCTCTCTTTCCTTCCTTTCCTCCCTGCCTGTTTTTTTTTCTTTTTTTCTTTTGTCTTTTTTTACTTTTTTCTTTCTTTTCTTTTCTCCTCTCTCCTTTCTTATCTTCCTTCCTTTCTTCCTCTTTTCATTCCTTCTTTCCTTCCCTTTTTTGGTTTCAAAATAGTAAAAGTATACATTTTAAAATCCAAATATTAATAAGCCTTACAGCAAAACAAAACAAAAAACAGTGTTAAAGTTAAGAAAAAAGTATCATCAGACATAATGACCATTATTAGCCAGGAAGAGTGAGGCCTTAAAGGGATACTTGAAATATCTTTAAATTATCTAGGTGGCTGGCAAGATGGCCAAATAGAAACAGCTCCAGTCTGCAGCTCCCAGCAAGATCAACGCAGAAGGTGGGTGATTTCTGCATTTCCAACTGAGGTACCCAGCTCATCTCACTGGGACTGGTTAGACAGCAGGTGCATCCCACAGAGGGCGAGCAGAAGCAGGTTGGGGCATCACGTCAGGGAACTCCTTTCCCTAACCAAGGGAAGCCATAAGGGTCTGTGCCATGAGGAATGGTGCACTCCGGCCCAGATATTACACTTTTCCCATGGTCTTTGCAACCCACAGACCAGGAGAGTCCCTCGGGTGCCTACACCACCAGGGCCCTGTGTTTCAAGCAAAAAACTGGGTGGCCCTTTGGGCAGACACTGAGTTAGCTGCAGGAGTTTTTTTGTTTTGTTTTTTGGTTTTTTTTTTTTCATACCCCAGTGGCACCTGGAATGCCAGTGAGACAGAACCATTCACTCCCCAGGAAAGGGACCTGAAGCCAGAGAGTGAAGTGGTCTTGCTCAACGGCTCCCACTCCAATGGAGCCCAGCGAGCTAAGATCCCCAGGCTTGAAATTCTCGCTGCCGGCACAACAGTCTGAAGTCAACCTGGGAGGCTTGAGCTTGGTGGGGGGAGGGGCGTCCACCATTACTGAGGCTTCAGTAGGTGGTTTTCACCTCACAGTGTAAACAAAGCTGCCAGGAAGTTCAAACTGGGCAGAGCCCACAGTAGCTCAGCAAAGCCGTTGTAGCCAGACTGCCTCTCTAGATTCCTCCTCTCTGGGCAGGGTATCTCTGAAAGAAAGGCAGCAGCCCCAGTCAGGGGCTTATAGATAAAACTCTCATCTCTCAGACACAGAGCACCTGGGGGAAGGGGCGGCTGTGGGCACAGCTTCAGCAGACTTAAACATTCCTGCATGCCAGCTCTGAAGAGAGCAGCAGATCTCCCAGCACAGTGCTCGAGCTCTTGCTAAGGGACAGACTGCCTCTTCAAGTGGGCATGACTCCTGACTGGGAGACACCTCCCAGCAGGGGTCAACAGACACCTCATACGGGAGAGCACCGGCTGGCATCTGGCAGGTGCCCCTCTAGGACAAAGCTTCCAGAGGAAGGAACAGGCAGCAATCTTTGCTGTTCTGCAGCCTCCACTGGTAATACCCAGGAAAACAAGGTCTGGAGTGGACCTCCAGCAAAATCCAGCAGACTTGCAGCAGAAGGCCCTGACTGTTTGAAGGAAAACTAACAAACAGAAAGGAATAGCATCAGCATCAACAAAAAGCATGTCCACACAGAAACCCCATCCGAAGGTCACCAACATCAAAGACCAAAGGTAGATACATCCATGAAGATGAAGAAAAACTAGCACAAATAGGCTGAAAATTCCAAAAACCAGAATGCCTCTTCTCCTCCAAAGGATCACAACTCCTCACCAGCAAGGGAATAAAACTGGATGGAGAATGAGTTGGAAGAATTGACAGAAGTCGGGTTCAGAAGGTGGGTAATAACAAACTCCTCCAAGCTAAAGGAGCATGTTCTAACCCAATGCAAGGAAGCTAAGAACCTTGAAAAAAGGTTAGAGTAATTGCTAACTAGAATAACCAGTTTAGAGAAGAACATAAATGGCCTGATGGAGCTGAAAAACAAAGCACGAGAACTTTGTGAAGCATACACAAGTATCAACAGCCAAATAGACCAAGCAGAAGAAAGAATATGAGAGATTAAAGATTGACTTAATCAAATAAGGTGTGAAGACAAGATTAGAGAAAAAAGAATGAAAAGGAATGAGCAAAGGCTCCAAGAAATATGGGACTATGTGAAAAGACCAAACCTACATTTATTTGGTGTACTTGAAAGTGACGGGGAGAATGGAACCAAGTTGGAAAACACTTCAGAATATCATCCAGGAGAACTTCCCCAGTCTAGCAAGAAAGGCCAACATTCAAATTCAGGAAATACAGAGAACATCACAAAGATACCCTTCAAGAAGAACAATCCCAAGACACATAATTGTCATATTCACCAAGGTTGAAATGAAGGAAAAAATGTCAAGGGCAGCCAGAGAGAAAAGTCAGGTTACCCACAAAGGGAAGCCCATCAAACTAACAGCAGACCTCTCTGCAGAAACCCTGCAAGCCAAAAGAGAGTGGGGGCCAATATTCAACATTCTTAAAGAAAAGAATTTTCAACCCAGAATTTCATATCCAGCCAAATTAAGCTTCATAAGTGAAGGAGAAATAAAATCCTTTACGAACAAGCAGATGCTGAGAGATTTTTGTCACCAGCATCCCTGCCTTACAAGAGCTCCTGAAGGAACCACTAAATATATAAAGGAAAAACCAGTACCAGCCACTGCAAAAACATACCAAATTGTAAAGACCATCAACACTATGAAGAAACTACATCTACTGATGCGCAAAATAACCAGCTAGCATCATAATGACAGGATCAAGTTCACAAATAACAATATTAACCTTAAATGTAAATGGTCTAAATGCTCCAATTAAAAGACACAGACTGGCAAATTGGATAAAGAGTCAAGACCCATCAGTGTGCTGTATTCAGGAGACCCATCTCATGTGCAAAGACATACACAGACTCAAAATAAAGGGATGGAGGAATATTTACCAAGCAAATAGAAAGCAAAAAAAAAAAAAAAGCAGGGGTTGCAATCCTAGTCTCTGATAAAACAGATTTTAAACCAACAAAGATCCAAAAAGACAAAGAAGGGCATTACATAATGGTAAAAGGATCAATGCAAGAAGAAGAGCTAACTATCCTAAATGTATATGCACCCAATACAGGAGCACCCAGATCCATAAAGCAAGTTCTTAGAGAAATACAAAGAGACTTAGACTCCCACACAATAATAGTGGGAGACTTTAACATCTCACTGTCAATATTAGACAGATCAATGAGACAGAACACTAACAAGGATATTCAGGACTTGAACTCAGCTCTGGACCAAGCAGACCTAATAGACATCTACAGAACTCTCCATTCCAAATCAACAGAATACACATTCTGGCTAAGCACCACATCGTACTTATTCTAAAATTAACCACATAACTGGAAGTAAAACATGCCTCAGCAAATGCAAAAGAATGTAAATCATAACAAACTGTCTCTCAGACCACAATGCAATCAAATTAGAACTCAGGATTAAGAAACTCACTCAAAACTGCAAAACTACATGGAAACTGAACAACTCCTGAATGACTACTGGGTAAATAACAAAATTAAAACAGAAATTAATAAGTTACTTGAAACCAATGAGAACAAAGACACAATGTACCAGAATCTCTGGGACGCAGCTAAAGAAGTGTTTAGAGGGAAATTCATACCACTAAATGCCCACAGGAGAAAGTGGGAAAGATCTAAAATTGACACCCTAACATCACAATTAAAAGAACTAGAGAAGCAAGAGCAAACACATTCAAAAGCTAGCAGAAGACAAGAAATAATTAAGATCAAAGCAGAACTGAAGAAGATAAAGACACACAAAAAAACCCTTCAAAAACTGAATGAATCCAGGAGCTGGTTTTTTGAAAAGATTAATAGAATAGATGGACCGCTAGCCAGAATATAAAGAAGAAAAGAGAGAAGAATCAAATAGATGCAATAAAAAATGATAAAGGGGATATCACCACTGATCCCACAGAAATACAAACTACCATCAGAGAATACTATAAACACCTCTATGCAAATAAACTAGAAAATATAGAAGAAATGGATAAATTCCTAGACACATACACCCTCCCAAGACTAAACCAGGAAGAAGTTGAATCCCTGAGTAGACCAATAACAAGTTCTGAAATTGAGCTAGTAATTAATAGCCTACCAACCAAAAAAAGCCCAGGACCAGACAGATTCACAGCCGAGTTCTACCAGAGGTACAAAGAGGAACTGGTACCATTCCTTCTGAAACTATTCCAAACAACAGAAAAAGGATGGCCTCCCTAACTCATTTTATGAGGCCGGCATCATCCTGATACCAAAACCTGGCAGAGACACAACAAAAAAAGAAAATTTCAGGCCAATATCCCTTATGAACATCGATGTGAAAATCCTCAATAAAATACTGGCAAACCAAATCCAGCAGCACATCAAAAAGCTTACCCGTCATGATCAAGTTGGCTTCATCCTTGGGATGCAAGGCTGGTTCAACATACGCAAATCAATAAATGTAATCCGCCACATAAACAGAACCAGTGACAAAAACCACAAGATTATCTCGATAGATGCAGAAAAGGCCTTCGGCAAAATTCAACAGGCCTTCATGCTAAAAACTCTCAATAAACTAGGTATTGATGGAACATATTTCAAAATAATCAGGGCTATTTATGACAATCCCACAGGCAATATCACACTGAATGGGCAAAAACTGGAAGCATTCCCTTTGAAAATCGGCACAAGACAAGGATGCCCTCTTTCACCACTCCTATTCAACATAGTATTGGAAGTTCCGGCCAGGGCAATCAGGCAAGAGAAAGAAATAAAGCGTATTCAGATAGGAAGAGAGGAAGTCAGATTGTCTCTCTTTGCAGACGACATGATAGTGTATTTAGAAAACCCCATCATCTCAACCCAAAATCTCTTTAAGCTGATAAGCAACTTCAGCAAAGTTTCAGGATACAAAATCAATGTGCAAAAATCACAAGCATTCCTATACACCAATAACAAACAGAGAGCCAAATCATGAGTGAACTCCCATTCACAATTGCTACAAAGAGAATAAAATACCTAGGAATATAACTTACAAGGGATGTGAAGGACCTCTCCAAGGGGAACTATAAACCACTGCTTAAGGAAATAAGAGAGAACACAAACAAATGGAAAAACATTCCATGCTCATGGATAGGAGAATCAATATCGTGAAAATGGCCACACTGCCCAGAGTAATTTACAGATTCAATGCTATCCCCATCAAGCTACTTTGACTTTCTTCACAGAATTAGAAAAAAACTACTTAAATTCCATATGGAAACAAAAAAGAACCTGTATAGCCGAGACAATCCTAAGCAAAAAGAACAAAGCTGGAGGCATCATGCTACCTGACTTCAAACTATACTACAAGGCTACAGTAACCAAAACAGCATGCTACTGGTACCGAAACAGCATGGCACTGGTACTAAAACAGATAAATAGACCAATGGAACAAAACAGAGGCCTCAGAAATAACACCACACATCTACAACCATCAGATCTTTGACAAACCTGATGAAAACAAACAACAGGGAAAGGATTCCCTATTTAGTAAATGGCATCTGGAAAACTGGCTAGCCATATGCAGAAAGCTGAAACTGGAACCCTTCCTTACACCTTATACAATAATTAACTCAAGGTGGATCAAAGATGTAAATGTAAGACCTAAAACCATAAAAACACTAGAAAACCTAGGCAATACCATTCAGGACGTAGGCATGGGCAAAGACTTCAAGACTAAAACACCAAAAGCAATGACAGCAAAAGCCAAAATTGACAAATGGGATCTAATTAAACTAAAGAGCTTCTGCACAGCAAAAGAAACTATCATTAGAGCGAACAGGCAACCTACAGAATGGGAGAAAATTTTTGCAATCTATCCATCTGACAAAGGGCTAATATCCAGAGGCCACAAGGAACTTAAACAAATTTACAAGAAATAAACAACCAACCCCATCAAAAAGTGAGCAAAGGGTATGAACAGACACTTCTCAAAAGAAGACATTTATGCAGCCAACAGACACATGAAAAAATGCTCACCATCACTGGCCATCAGAGAAATGCAAATCAAAACCACAATGAGATATCATCTCATGCCAGTTAAAATGGCAGTCATTAAAAAGTCAGCAAACAACAGATGCTGGAGAGGATGTGGAGAAATAGGAACACTTTTACACTGTTGGTGGAAGTGTAAATTAGTTCAACCATTGTGGAAGACAGTATGGCGATTCCTCAAGGCTCTAGAACCAGAAGTACATTTGACCCAGCAATCCCATCACTGAGTATATACCCAAAAGATTATAAATTCTTCTAGTATAAAGATACATGCACACGTATGTTTATAGTGGCACTGTTCACAATAGCAAAGACTTGGAACCAACCAAATGCACATTAGTATAAACTGGATAAAGAAAATGTGGCACATATACACCATGGAACACTATGCAGCCATTAAAAAACGATGAGTTCATGTCCTTTGCAGGAACATGGAAGAAGCTGGAAACCATCATTCTCAGCAAACAAACACAGGAACAGAAAGCCAAGTACCGCATGTTCTCCCTCATAAGTGGGAGTCGAACAATGAGAACACATGGACACAGGGATGAGAACATCACACACTGAGGCCTGTCAGGGGTTGAGGGGCTAGGGGAGGGATAGCATTAGGAGAAATACCTAAAGTAGATGACAGGTCGATGCGTGCAGCAAACCACCACGGCACGTGTATACCTATGTAACAAACCTGCATGTTCTGCACATGTTTATCAGAACTTAAAGTATAATAAAAAAATTATCTATTGTGAATTTTCTGTAGAGTAATCTGATGGGAACCTAGTCATTCATTGGGGGAACCCAGCTACAAGAAAATAGATATTTTCTCTTGGAACGAAGAGATTTCAAAGACAGTAAGACAGTCTCTTACTTGGAAGGAGATGGATACAAAAAGCCTGGTATTCTGGTTGCTGAGATAGGGGAGAATTTTGTTGTGGATGTGGTTGTCTCACCATTCAATGCATATACTTTCACTGACAATTCAAATTTTCTGTTCAGTGTCTCTTCTTTCCCCTCAGCTGTGCTTTCTGCCCCTTAGTCCAGGGCTTCTCAGGGTCAATTGCTTAAAGAACAAGTGTCCTGGCTTTAGCTGGAAGAGTTGCACATCTATGTGAGTGGTAGAGGTCACCTTTTGGCCTTTGTACAGATTTTTCAAAGTGCCTGTTTTCTACTCCACCTTTCTCCCCCACTTTCAAATGTGTGTGTGTATATATATGTATATGATATATATATATGATATATATATCATATATATATGATATATATATGATATATATATGATATATCTATGATATGATATATATATGATATATATGATATATATATGATATGATATATATATGATATATATATGATATGATATATATATGATATATATATGATATATATGATATATATATATGATTGATATATATATCATATATATGATATATATGATATATATATCATGTATATGATATATATGATATATATGATATATATATATGATATATATATATATATCTTAAATTGTCAAAACCTGAAAGTTCTGGGTTGGTAATGCCTTTGTTACATGTTGTTAATACTTCAGAGAGGAATTGCTTTCCCAAGTGTATTAGTTAGCTAGGGCTGACATAAGAGTGTATCATGAATTGAGTAGCTCAAGCTCTGAAAACTAGAAGGCTGAGATCAAGATGTCATCAAGATTGTTTTTTTTTTTCTGAGGTCTGTAAGGGAGACTCTGTTTCAGGCTTCTTTCCTAGTTTCTAGTGGTTTTCTGGTGGTCCTTGGTGTTCATTGGCTTGCGGAAACATCATCACAACCTCGGCCTTCATCTTCACACCGCATTCTCCCTATGTCCAAATTTCTCCCATTTATAAGCCCACAGGCATATTGAATTAAGGCCCATCCTATCAGCCTCATCTTAACTTGATTATCTCCAACGACCCTATTTCCAAATAAGGGCACATTCTTAGCCACTGGAGGTTATGACTTCCACATATGAACTAGAAGTTACACCATTCAGCCCATGCCACTCACTATATCATCATGATGAGAAATAAGAAAGATTGGTTATTTGATAAGGAAAGTGGAGCAGACTTGTTCTAGAAACTTCTTATAAATGGCAGATCTAAAGGTAAGCATTCCAGTGAGAAATTCTAGCACCTTGGGTCATAGAGGAAGAAAGCTTCACTAGAAATAAGGAGGAGAATAACCAAGAGGTGGGAAAGGCTGATGTTTAACTCTGAATATGATGGGATTTTACAGGGGATGAACCTTACCGTTATATATAGTTTGTCTCTTATTTCAGGCCTGACTGTTTTATTATTTCCTTTTTCCATGCTTGACTAAATAACATCATCTTCTCCCCACACAGAAGCAATTTCTCTCTCACACAGAGTGAAAAAAAGTAGAACTCAAATGTTACCTGTTTCTTTTAACTACCTCCTGACTCCTGGGCTAATAGGTAGTGTGCTATAGCAAAGGATCTGTCACACCCACTAAATTCCTTGTGCCAGACCTGCATTAGAATAGAAGCATCAATTTCACCTAAGAATTTGCCATCCTATTCTTCCCTAAAGCAATCATTAGATTTAACAATTACCTTCCTTGTATGGAGGGCTGTAATTTATTATCATTTTGGTCCCAGTACAGAATCGATGCTAAAAGCAAAAACCTACCTAGTACATTGGATTATTTGTCATGTCCAATTCTTGACTTTTTTCCAATGTATTAAAGAGGCCACATTATCTCTACCCTACATTTAAATTTTCTTTTTATCAGAATTCTGGTATCCATCTAGGTAGTTCTACTCTGACTGCTTCTGCTGGTGTTGTAAGTTAATAGTTACATAGGTGCAAATAATAATAACGTAAGTAAGAATAATAGCAATAGCTCAAAAGTTAAAATAGTAGTTTGAGTTTTACAGTCGAGTAGCAAATTATTAATTGTTGTTACTACTGATAAGGAAGAAAAGCAGTAAAAAGAGCACCTATCCATAACAGTGAGAGCTGAGAATGTCTATAATCCACATTATTCAAATTTATTTTATTTATGCCATGCCTTTCATTGCTACTCCAGATATTGCTTCCTTTTTTTCCAAGTTTACAAATCTTAACCTGTGAGTCAACCTTCTACTTTCCTGAGAAAAAAATGAAGCTAACCAATGTGACTTCTCTTTTCTCATTCCTTTTGATCGCTGAACAGGAGTGGCCTAGCATGGTAATCTGGCTTAAAGGGAGGACTAAGGGACAAATCTTGAAACTGCCTTTGCAAGCAAGCACATTGGTTTCAATTGTATCATAATATTTTGGATCTATAATCATAGAACTTTGTAAAAGTCTATTTACACAAATTTTACATAATATTAACAAAAGCAATTACTCATTTTAAAGATTTGTTATTATTGTTTATGTTGCTTTTGGTGGTACTTCTAGTGGTTAGGAGATGAGGTGAAAACTACTCCAACCCACTGTTGCCATCATCCTAACATTTTTGTAGGCCTCTCCCTTTCTCTTATTTGTTTCTCTCCCAATGAGCTATATCGTGCTTTCCAAAGTTGTGTTCTTAACATCCTATCCTATCTCTACAGAGAATTTGACCCATAAATTGTCCCCTCTTTCATACTTTAAATATATAATTTTAAACATAGTCCATTAACCTCCTCTGGTAATTCTACAAATAATTGTCTTCTTGAAGTTTCCGTAGAGGCAAAGGCAATTAGTAGATGTGTCAGAAGGTGACTGAAAGGGTTCCATCTAACCCGTCATCCATCAACACTCTCCACAACAGTAGACAGGATTTTATACATCTTGAGTTTGGAGTTTCCAGCACTTTTATTTTTTTAAGAAATTTTCACTTTTAGAAAGGATGTTAAAGAAACTCCTGGCATACTAACATGTTTACATCTTCTATATATTCTTCTCTGCTTAACAAGATTTAACCATTAGGAGCTATCTTTTACCTTGCATTTACCTCCAAATGATCAACAGTCATTGATCACCCTCTGCTACTACTATTACTTGCTCTTCCTTCTCTTCTCCTTCTTCTCTCTTCCTCTTCCTTTTGTCTCACCATCTTTTTCTTTTTTCCTCCTCCTCTTTCTTTTCTTCCCTACTTTTCTTTTGTTGTGTCTCCTTACAGGAATATAAGCTCCATGAGAACAGGGATTTTGCTCTGTTTTGGTTACTGCATATTACCCAATGCTTAGAATGTAAACTGGCACAAAGTCAATACTTACTTGCTGAAAAAATTTTTTAAAGTTATATAAAGAATAGAAAATTAGATAAGCAGAAACAAAAAGAATTTTTTAAAGGATCACAAATAACCTCACTATCAAAAGTGATCATCGTTAACATTTTAGTGAGATCTTTTTCTCTGAGTTATAAACCACATATTCCTCAAGAAGCTCAACAGTCTATTTGAGGAGACAGAAATATAAATTACAAAACATCACAGTAAGTGCTATGACTAAACATAATGCTATGGTGCAGAAAAGATAAGTAATTCTGCCTGGCAGAGTTAGGGAGTATAATAAAAGCTGAAATTAAAATACAAGTAGAATTTGCCAAATTGCTATGTGAAATTTTAAAGAAAATTTCAAACTTCCTGTCACTCTGCTATATGAGTTTTTTATTCTTATTAGAGTAAATAATAATAAATAGATGACCATCATTCCGAAACAGAGCATGTCAAAAATTACTTCACCCATTATTTTCTGTGAGGTGTTTTGTAAATTCCTCTGCCTAAGGTTCCTTTTTCCAGGAACTTGGTATCAAGGTCCCCTCTAGCAGTTTAAGGATTCACTTAAATCTTTGCCTCCTGATAGGAGTTAATGGGATTAACCCTCAAGAAGGATGTAAATAATTTCATTGGCAGCCACAACATCGGCCCTTTTATGCTCCCCCCGCCAAAAAAAAAATGGAGAGAGAGAACCAGGACATCACCTTCATTTGCTGGAGTTGAGGGCCTGTAACTCCCTGTGTGATGGTTAATATTGAGTGTCAACTTGATTGGATTGAAGGACACAAAGTATTGTTCCTGGGTATGTCTGTGAGGGTGTTGCCCAAGGAGATTAACATTTGAGTCAGTGGACTGGGAGAGGCAGACCCATGCTCAGTCTGGATGGTCACCATCTACTTAGCTGCCAGTGCAGCCAGGATAAAAGCAGACAGAAGAATGTGGAACAGCTAGACTTGCTAAGTCTTCCAGCCTTCATCTTTCCCCCATGCTGGATTCTTCCTGCCCTTGAACATCAGATTCTAAGTTCTTCAGCTTTTGGACTTGGACTTACACCATGGTTTGCCAGGGTCTCTCGGGCCTTTGGCCACAGACTAAAGGCTACACTTTCAGCTTCCCTACTTTTGAGGTTTGGGGACTCAGACTGATCCACCACTGGCTTCCTTGCTCCTCAACTTCCAGATGGCCTGTCCCAGGGCTTTACCTTGCGATTGTGTGAGTCAATTCTCCTTAACAACTCCATTTCATATATACATTTATCCTGTTAGTTCTGTCCTTCTAGAGAACCCTGACTAATACACCCTGCTTCACTGTATACACTGAAGCAACAACAGATCTAGACCTAGGATGGTTTCATTTTCTACTCCTAGATGGAAGACCAAGAATATGAGAGTAATGTCTAAATATGGTGATGGCATTTAGTTAAAGAAAAACAAATGGACAAATGGGCATTAATGAAAAACAAATAATGAACAATGGACATTAATGAAAATGGGCATTAATGAAAAACAAATAAATGGACAAATGGCCATTAATGAAAAACAAACGGACAAATGGTAAAAACTCATTGACCTTAAAGAATTTCTGATCTTGAACACCTAAAATTTTCAGAGCATTGAAAATAAATTAATTAAAGTGATATGTAATCTGGGCCATAGAGTGGTGTCATCTCAAATTTGGAGCAGATTAAAAATTAGAGATGAATAATGGTGAATAGGGAGTACCAGGTAAAACAAATGTATAGAAATTAGACAAAGCTGATTGGGGAAGAGTGTGAGGATCACTGTGGCAGAAGAGAACACATAAACAGGAGAGGATTGAAAAATGACATAAGGGTATGTTGTGGCAACATTGTGAAAGGCATTGTATGCTAATATAAGGACTATGAAATGTGTATTATACATCACAATGCTGTTTAATATTGCTGGACAACAAGTTGGCATTTCAAGAGGTTTTTATTAGGTGGTAATGTAACCCAATAAAAGAGTTAAAGGTATTGATACGTGCTGAGGAATACATTTACTGGGACCAATCTCACTTCCAATTCTTCCTTTACACTTGATTAAAGTCTGAGTGAAGCCCCAATATTGTTTTGAAACAAATATAGATAGAAATTGGAGTGAAGGGCATATCTTAATAAAGTTAAGACAAAACTGAAAAAAAAAATTGCAGAGCAGATATATGCAGATTAATAATTTGGAGGAAAAACTCCGGCTGACTAGAAGAGAGCAAGTTGGCAATCCACAACATTTATTTTTCTAAATTAAGAACAAGATATTATGATTTAAACAATTAATACTATGACTTAGCGTTCAGCAAACCTTTCAGTAAATAGCCAGATAGTAAATGTTTTAGACTTTGAGACACATATGGTCTCTTTTGCAACTACACAGCTCTGCCATTATAGCAGAAAAGCAGCCATAGACCACACGTAAATCCAATATGACTCGATTTATGGACATTGCAATTTGAATTACGTATAATTTTTACATGCCACAAAATATTATTCTTCTTTTGTTTGTTTTTGTAGCAATTTAAAAAGGGAATAAAATTTCTTAGCTTCTGTGTAATTTGTAATTTGGCTGTCTGGGGAGGCCTGCTATAGGGGACAGTAGATGAGGATACTTAAACAATCCCCTTTCTGCTCGGCTCCCAGCTCTTTTTCTCTGCCCTTAAAGGTCTTTTTTTTCTTCTAAACCTGAGACAAATATAAGCGAAAAGTTTAAAGAATCAGAAAAATATATAATTTGTATTATATATCTGTTTTCTTAATATAGTATAAGAGGCAAAAGGGATCTTTTACAAAAATTGAAAGGGAAGGTTTTTAACTTCAAAAAAGTAGATCCTCAATCATGATATCTTTTAAAAAATTATAACATCAGATACCTCTTTAAAGGAAATATACATACATATACATACACACACATATGTGTGCACATATGTGTATATATACATATATATGTGTAACCCTAGCAATTGTTTAGATTTTATTCCATGGTATTATGTAGCCCTTATCACAGGAGCATTCCAAGGCCAGACTGCAAATGGGATTGGCTGAATATATTCTATTTTAGTTCAGCAGGAGGAGGCAGAAATGTCCCAGTTTAGTCAATCTCATTTTTTATTTTGCAGGTCACACACCAGTCCTTCAGTTCATTAAGTTTCTCTCTATTTCTGGAATAAAAGCTTCCATTGCTTGTAGAGCACTTCAGCCATGTCAACTGTGCGAGGAAAGGGCTGATAGGACTGATTTCTCTGCTGGATGTTGTGAGTGAGACAGCGTAAAACTCCAAGCTTAAGGATTCAAATGAAATATCCCAACCAATTAAAGTGTGGTTGAAATGCAAAGACCAGTACCACTAGCTACATATATATACCAAGAAAAGAGAAAAGGGCATAAATGGGACCGATGTCACACAAAAAAACAATTTCATGAATGAGGAAAAAGTTTCAAATGAGGAGTTTTCAGGTTAAAAAAAAAAAGGAGCGTATAGACAACAGGATGGTGATGAGAGGTAACATAACCCTGCAATCAACACAATACACTCCACTAATGAAACAGAGCATTGCAGTATTTAGGGTGAAAAATTTCCAATGAGGATAAGAGGTAAAGAACAACTTCTTTATAAGATTGCCTGATTCTTCTCAAAACAATAGTTTCATTTTCCTAAACTCATCAAGAGCTTTTTAATTTTAGTATATTTTACCTCAAATGAACACAGCTTCTCTCTCTCTCTCTCTCTCCCGCTCTTTCTTCTTTGGATGGGCCTATTTGTCCTTTTTAATTACTTGCAAGAATATGAGAAGAAACCAGTAAATAAGCCCTATTTAACAGTGTAGAGACCAGAGTATGATAAAATGCCTCATAGAAAGATCCAGAAAAGGCAGCAGTGGTGAACAAAGCCAGTGGTACTGGGAAGATGTACATGAATAAAAGATCTTGTAAGTCAGAAGTCACAAAATGATAGCAATGGGCTGTGTTCAGTGTGCAGATATTTTGTCTTTGGACTGCATTTTGTTGAGTCACACAATATATAAAATGTGTCTGAATTAGTTGGCAACATTAACAAATCTAGAGATTTTATGTAAAAACATAATTTTCTGATTCACTTGGGGTTCTGAAGGTCTAATTCAGGCTCCTCTAGCTGAATGACCTTTGGCAAGTTGTCCTCTCCATGTCTAAATTCCCTTACATACAATATAAAACAGGATTAGCAATATATTATTAGATTAGATTATATATGATATGCAATTTAATAATAATTATAATTATATTATAATTAAATATCATATATTACATATAACATATCATATAAAACTGTTAATAATATAACTTACTTTACAGAATTTTGATATTATATTAATATATCATATATTGTATATGACATATTAATTACAATTATATCATATATTATGTCATATAATATAAAACACCATTAATAATATAACTTACTTTACAGAATTTTTACGAGGATTAAATGACAATGAACTGGAATTACCTGTAACAATACTTGGCACATGTAACTACGTAACACATAGCGGATATTAGGACTAATAATACTTGCTGTCGCATTTGACAAACTGATGCTTAGAATCATGAGGCAAGTATCAAAAAGAGCACAGGAAAATGTCTTAAAATTGATCCACAAAGCATATTATGAAATAGGTACATAAATACCTTATATAAATAAGCTTCCAACATGATTTGTTCTAAGAGAGTATTGTACATGTACAATTGCATGAAGAATGATCTTTTGAAGCATTTTTCAGTTTCAAAATTGTATATAAATAGAAGTAATTGGGCACAAAGCAGCAGAATTCCTAAAGAAGCATACTTCAAAATATAGCAGTCTTATTTAAGTTACTTAATAAAAGAAATCATCTGAAGCAATATTATGGAGATAAAATATCCTTAATGCTTTAGTACAAGTTTAAGAGAATAGAACTTCCAAAGCTTACTTTAAAAAATGTAACAAAGGGATTTACAATGATACTAATTTTAAAACGTATTTCAAAAAATGTATCACATATTTCAAAAAATGTATCACAGCCAGGCGTGGTGGCTCACGCCTGTAATCCCAGCACTTTGGGAGGCTGATGCAGGCAGATTGCCTGAGCTCAGGAGTTCAAGACCAACCTGGGAATCATAGTGAAACCCCTTCTCTACTAACATACAAAAATTAGCCAGGCATGGTGGCAGGCGCCTGTAGCTACTCGGGAGGCTGAGGCACAAGAATCGCTTGAACCTGGGAGGCAGAGGTTTCAGTCAGCCAAGACCGCACCACTGCATTCCAGCCTGGGCAACAGAACAAGATTCTGTCTCAGGAAAAAAAAAAATATATATATATATATACACACACATATATATATATATATATAAATTTTATATATATATATAAATTATATATATTATATATACCACAATAAATTAATGTCCTTTTTAATTATATTGTTAATTAAAATCTAAAATAAAATAATACATGAATAAGCATTGACATGTAAGAAAGCAAAATGATGTGTGTGTATATACATATGTAAAAATCAAGTAAAAGTACTATATATATACATGTGTCAGTATATACATATATAAGCAAAATTCAGAAGAACGTTTGGATTATTGAATATTCAGTGTACTACATGACATTCAAAGGATAAATATCCTTTATATGCAATGAGCTCTTATAAATCAATAATAAAAAATCAAACAGCACAAAATTTTCAATGATTTAAGTGCACATTTTCTAAAAGAATAAATAAAATAAGCAAAAAAAGTTTAGCCTCATTCATAACCAATAAATGCAAATTCTACCACCAATGGGATCATATATTTCATCTACAAATTGATAGAGATCTTTAATATGAATGCTCAGTGTTAATAAGGGCTCTAGGAAAGAGGATGTCATCTATTGTTGGTATCAGTTTTCATAAGTTATGGAGGGCACTATATGAATAGGTATCAAATGCCCTAAAAATATGCCTATTATTTGATCCAAAATTCTACTTTTAATAATTTTCCTGAAGAAAATCAGCCACCGAGTGGGCAAAATATTGCATGTACACACATCTTATATGTACAAACATCTCCAATATTGATTGTAAAAGCAAAACCTTGAAAACAATGTAAATATTTAAATAAAGAGATCAGTTAATTAAGTCATAAAAGACCATATGCAGTTACACTGTACAAATGTTAGATGGTGCCAGGGGAAATGAGCTAATAATGTATTTATTATATTATGGAGCTTTTTTGATTTTCAATTTCCTAAGATTATTTTAAATGATTTTAACGTTTATTAAGTTGAATGGTTTTTTTGTAAAATATCACAGTAAAGAACAAAGGAGTTGGGGACAGAAATATGAGAAAATTTGAGCAGGGAAAAAACTTGCTCATAGCTCAATGAAGCAGTTCCAAGAACAGAGTGTCCATGGATTAAAAAAAAAAAGAAAGAAAGAAACTTAATGCTCACATCAGGTCTACTGGGGTAGAAAAGAGACATGAGCTCTTTTTTCCTGTATAAGACATATGAATCTATCTTCTTTGATATACTTGCTCAGTACTGCAGAAATCCCATCCAAGTACTCTGTATTTTCTTTTCCAATCTTCTCTTCAGTAAAGTGAGCAATAAACATCACAAAATCTCAAGAACACTAATAGTACCAATGCGCTAAAAGACACTTTATTTGATAAGCAAAGTGAGGGACATTATCTATTTTTGCCTATATCTACAACAAGAATGTAAATTAAAGATATACAAATATTTTCCATACATACACTCCAAAAAAGAGATTTTCACATTTTACTGAAAGTTGCTGGTGTGCCTTGGCAAACTTAGAAATAAATTCTAATGATGAAGACCAAAATGGGAGGTTACACCTAATGGCCCATGACTTAGGCCACCAGCAAGCATCCTTGGTCTAGAGAGAAAAGCTCGAAGTTCACTCCCATGACAGATGTGACAATAATTGCCTTCCTCTTTAACCTTTAATAACCTTTAATCTCCTGGTTAGTTGCCTTAAAAGCTATTAAATTGTGATGGATCACAATCAGAACTCGAAAATCTTTCTTCTAACCCTTGATTCTCTTAAACACATTCCTCAAAAGCACACAAAAGATCCAGAGAACAACAGATGTGACCTACTCTCAAGTCCGTGACTCGAAAAAGAAATCAGAAGCCAGTAACAAAATCCAGAAGAAATTAACCACATAGCAACTTTAAATGTCTAGATCACACAAACAAAATTTATAAAAGATGTAACAGACAGATGAAGAACTGGAGAAAATATGTTTACCACACGTGTCAAAGACCCAATATTCTTAATATCCAAAAGCTCTTACAAATCAATATGAAAAAGACCAAACCCCAATTAAAAATGGGAAAAAGACATTTGTTGACTCTTCAAATAAAAAATACAATTTTTAAAGCATATCAAAAGAAATAGACCTTACTCATAGTTAAGTAAATACAAATTAAAATCATGAAACACCTTTTTTCCCATCTTAGACTTGCAAAGACAGAGTTTGACAATCTTTTGTGCTAATAATAGTGTGTTCATGCAGAATCTATTCCACATCATTGATGGTTGTACAAGTTGCTACAATATCTAGGGGGTCAAGTGAAAAATGCTTTGATTTAGCAATTCTATTTCTAGGAATTGATCAACAAATATACAGGTACATAAAGACAAAATTATTCATTGCGACAATGTTTGTAGTAGTAAAATACTGGAAACAACCTAAATTTTCACTAGCAAGACCTTTAACATAAACAATACTATATCTATACAATGATATATTATGAAGTAATTTGAAAAAATAAGAAACATCGATATATACTGATACAGAATGATCTACATCATTATTAATGTTTTTAAAGTGGTACAGAAGAATATACACACTTTGCTTCCATTTGTTTGCATAAAGCACATGTGCTTTTGTCTGCATAGACGATCTCTAGAAGTATTTACAAGAAACTTTTGCTAGTCACAGAAATAGCTAAGTTTTACAGCACACTTACAATGAACTAGGCATTGTTCTAAGTGGTTTACTTATTTTGTTATCGAAACAATTCATCTGTTAGGTATAATTATTATCCCCATCTGGAAGGTGGGGAAACTGAGGCATAGAGCATTTAAGTGATTTGCCTAGGGTTCCACAGCTAGCAATTGCAAGCTGTAATTTGAATCCAGTCATTCTGTTTCAAGAGCCAGTGTTTTTAACCACCAAGTAGTTCACCTTTGGCAAAGGAAAACTGGGGATCAGGATTGAGAGAAATATTTATTTTCCACCTTATTTTTTTTTCCTTTTTACCATGTGCATGCATTAGTTTTTTAAAACACGCAAACAAAAATTATTCAAATATTCCATAAATTCCAAAGTGTTATCTGGAAAAACAGGAGGACAAAATGCTCGACATTTTGATAATGACTAATGCAGAAGGATTGACCCTACCAGATGGTGAAACCTGCTATAAACATAGAAAAACAGTGAAGAACAGACAGAAGAACTAACAGAGCAATCAGTGCAACAGAAAAAATCACTTAAGATTCAATCTGAGCAAAATAATATATGATATCAAAAACATGCAAAAGTAAAGGGATTATTCATTAATGCCATTGAGTAAATTGTAAGCTAATTATTTGGAATAACATTTATTTAAGATGTTATCTGACATCATATGCTAAATATATGACAATTAAATTGAAGAAAGAGATGTAAAACTGAAGAATAAAAATAAAAAAATACGTATCTGTGTGTGTCTGTTTGCATGTGTGTCCGTGTGTGTGTGTGTGTGTGTGTGTGTGTGTGTGTGTGTGTGTTTATCTGGGAGGACCTGATCCCTGGTTAAGGAAGGACTTTTTTCACACAAGGCACAATGGAGGAAATAATCTGGGGAGGATGGAGCAATTTTGTCAGCAGCATCAAAATTCTAAAAGTCCACTTTTAAAATATAAGCAAAATGCAAGACCATGAGTTTTGAATAATCATCAACAACAAATAAAACAAGGAGCTATTAGCATTGTATACAAAACACAATTACAAATCAATAAGTAAAACATTAAGATGTTAAATGAAAAACAGCAAAGGAAATGCACTGACCACAGGAAAAAAAGGTAAAGCACACATAACTCATTTAATTATATCTTTGATGCATATATAATTTTTCCCCAATTTAGAGATGAAAACTGACACTCAGAGAAAATTAGTAGATTGCCCAAGATCAAAAAGCCAACAAGTAGTAAGCTGAGATCTAAACTAAAAATTTAGTTTACTCCAAGCCTTATGTATTTTTAGATACTGTTGTGTATCTCTACATAAATATATAATATAGCAGTAAGAGTATGTCACTACCAAAAGTAAAATTGAAGAAAACTCTGTTTTACGCAAGTAATTGATGAATTGATGTAGCATTTTTCTGAGTTTCCTTTCTAGATTAGGTCATTATACCTAATTAGTTCAGAGCATATTTTTACCACTTTTTGCTAGTGAAATAGTCCAATGTTACCCATATGAGAGTTCATGTTTTGACAGTGCAAATGGAAAAACAAATGTAAATATCTCAGTGAGAAAATACTAAATGCATTATTGCATTTGAATATTGTTTTATCCTATATAGCACAGTTTATCAGGAAGCCAGAAATCAAGTAGCAATAACCACCTAAAGAATTCTGAACTCAGGCTGGGTGTGGTGGCTCATGCCTGTAATCCCAGCACTTTGGGAGGCTGAGGCAGGTGGATCACCTGAGGTCGGGAGTTCGAGACCAGCCTGACCAACATGGAGAAACCCTGTCTCTACTAAAAATACAAAAATTAGCCAGGCATGGTGGTGCATGGCTGTAATCCCAGCTACTCGGGAGGCTAAGGCAAGAGAATCGCTTGAACCCGGGACGCGGAGGTTGCGGTGAGCTGAGATTGCACCGCTGCACTCCAGCCTGGGCAACAAAAGCGAAACTCCGTCTCAA